>NC_000001.11:231184121-231335636 GCF_000001405.40 Homo sapiens | reverse complement strand
CTCCAAGATCTGAGGAATGCATCTAGACTTATTCGTGTGAATCCTGAAAGTACAACATCAGTGGTCTAATGCTTGGGTCTGTTTATATGTGTATATATGCAGAGAGAGAGCTTATATATTATTTATATTTATATTAAGTTGTATTAGCATACTCTATAGTTTCAAACACAACTTGAAAATTAAAAGTGCCCTCTTAAAAATACAAAAATCAAAAAGAGGAAAATAAGTTAAATTAAGCCCAAGTAACAAAAATACTGGAATTATTAAAACGTATAGTATGCTAGCTATCCTTTTAAATTATGCTAATTCTCTTCTTCTGAAATTATGGTCACACTATATACTATAGCATTTCGGTTTTATCCTTTGATAAAACTTTTCTTTTTTCTTTTTTTTTTTTGAGACAGGGTCTCACCCCGTCGCACAGGCTGGAGTGCAGTGGCAAAGTCTCGACTCACTGCAGCCTTGACCTCCCGGGCCCAGGTAGTCCTCCCACCTCAGCCTCCCATGTAGCAGGAACCACAGGCAGGCACCACCATACCCAGCTAATTTTTGTATTTTTTGTAGAGATGGGGTTTCGCCATGTTGCCCAGGCTAGTCTTTTCTTTCTTCTTTTTTTTTTTCCCCACAGTATATATTATACAGCAGTCATAATATCTATAAATACATAGAGTTTATGTTGTGAAGTTTCCCAGTTCACTGAAATGTTAGGTTTCCTAAAGGGTACAGTGCCGTATAAAACAACCTGCCTCATATATTTCTCCTCAAAACGTTGGACTATTTGGGAAAAGGAAAAGAGTTGGGAAAATTGGTTTTAAGGTAAGTTTTAGTCAAAAGAATTCTTTCTTGAAACTAGCTGGTTTGTGGATTCAGATACTCTGATCCTTACAGAATCCAAGAGGAAGCTTTCATAAAAACAATTCAGCAAATATTTCCAATATAATTTGAATGGCTAATTTTCAGTTGCTAATTAATTAGCAGCTTTGTAATACTTGATTTGGGAGCATTTACTTGGAAATCCTAAGGACTATAATAAAAGTTTTCAACATATTTCTAAATTGTGTGAGTTTCCAGCTGTAGCTTTTGTCTTTGTCACATTTTAAAAAATAATAAGCAAGACACATTGGGGACACTGGCAGCAGTTGCCAGGTTTTAGCTGCCACCGCTTCAGTATGAGATATAGCTGTCCCATCTTCCCCCATTCAGGGTAGGAGATATAGTGACCCAGACTTCATGCAAATGGAAAAAAAGTTTTAACTGAAATATTTATTTAGATTTCAGGGTCTAGATGGATGGGAAAGTAGAAAAACATATGCAAATCTCAGTGTTCTCACTATGACCACTCTGAGCAGAGATTTGGTTTTGTTTCCTTTTGTAACAAAGTGAAAACAGGTGAGACAATGTGCCCAAAACAAAGGGAAGAAGAGAACCTTCTGTGACTCCTAAAATGTTCCATGCTGCATTTTTGTTTCATTTTTTATTTTTCCTTGCTTTGTTTTTAAACATGAATATAATGCTTACTTCAAATTGTTTAGTAAAACAAAATAACTAAAGAAATGTGAGCTTCCCAAGGTTTCTAAACTATCGCTGTTGTATATTCTATAGCGTTCCTTATTCTTTGAGGGAAACTGTGCTTGCTGTGATCCATTTTGTCTCTAGCTTCTAGTTGTGATTCTTGTCCATAAGCACCAAATTTGATGCCCATGATTTCAAAAGGTCATTTCTTTTATCTGAATGAAAATGGTGGTACTAAGACTGTGAAAATTATGTGAAACCTAAAGTAGTTGCCAAAGTGGCTCAGGGTTGTAAAATTCATTGACTTAATTATTCATGTGCCAGATCAACCCCTTTATTTTCTCTTTAGCTGTGCATATTTAAAATATTGGAAAGTATCAGATTTACAGATTTTCTTTGACTAATTTTTTTCACATAACTTTAGGATTTTCGAAAGTTGTAACCATAACTGGATATCTTAGCTGAGCAAAGGCGGTTATAATTTGTCTTTTTAAGATCACTGGAAATTGATAAAATTTTGTGATAATTATGATTATTCTGTGCCATTTACAGTTTCTAATACTATACTGTATGAAATATGTATAAATATATGATGCTGAGTCTGTGGAATGATACTTCTGAAATCAAAATTCCTCATAAGGCATGAAGTTGTAAAAACTTGAATGTGTATAGTTAGATATTTAAATGGTTGCTTCTTCATAGAATTGTCTGCTTTTTAAAACTGGAAGTACAGGATTTTCTTCAGGTAAAATCTGTGTGTTCCAATTACAGTTGTAGCTGAAGGAAGTATGCTTTGGTGAGTCAATTAGTATGGGAACTTGACTAAAGACCCCCAGTGTTGTAACGTACCTTTGTACCCAGACAAAACAATTATGTTACATTCCTCAAAGTGGCATGGGCTTTCTTCTCTAATTCTTCTGTTTTATTAGACCCAAGACAAGTTCTAAAAATTGAATGCAATGAGAGATTGTCCAGAAATGTAATATATACTAAAATATACCACTTAAGCATTGATTGCCTTTTCTTGTTTGCTTCAAGAATATAAAACTTGTTACTTGAGCTTGGAATCATGGGCTTGATTGAATTAATTACTCTTGGGGAAAAAAGACACCTTGTGGCATTAAGTCTTGCTTTGGTTAAAGCCTTATTTCACATAATTGCTAAAAACTCATTTTTGTTTAATATACTACCTATAGTTTAATTATCGGCACTTGTATTTTGTAACTTGATATCTTACCTAGGATTGGGAATTTGGGACATGACATGTACTATAAAAGTCAGTCTATGTACATACTGCTTATTGATGTGCTGTGATATGAGGGAATCTGAAATGTTTCATAAAAATAAAGCTTAAAAATTGTCTTACACTGGATAAAAGTGATATTAAGATATTATATCTATTGCTCTTCTTTAGTTGGTATTCAATATTTTTATATTCTTGTTACTGAAATATTCTTTGAAGACCCTAGTTTTTTGTTTTATTTATGTGGGGAGGATACTTAGGAAGCTGTTTGCTAAATTAAGTAAGTGTTCTGCTTACCGTCAGAATTGTGAATAAATCAGATCTCAATTTTTTAAAATTCCCTCGAATGGAAAATTTCAGAGGTACAAAATGTGAATTTATTATAAAAAAGTAGATTTTATACCATCTGCACATCTCTAAATAAAGAAAATAAAATGTAGGCCACAAGACCTAGGAACTAAATGACAAGGCTTGGCCTTTTTTTTTTTTTTTGAGACAGAGTCTTCCCATATCGCCCAAGCTGGAGTGCAGTGGCGTGATCTCTGCTCGCTACAATCTCTGCCTCCTGGGTTCAAGCCATTCTCCTGTCTCAGCCTCCTGAGTAGCTGGGATTACAGGGGCCCGCCACCATGCCCGGCTAATTTTTTTATTTTTAGTAGAGATGGGGTTTCAACATGTTGGCCAGGCTGGTCTCGAACTCCTGATCTCAGGTGATCCACCCGCCTCGGCCTCCCAAAGTGCTGAGATTACAGGCGTGAGCCACCATGCCCGGCCAGGCTTGCCCTTTTGAAAGTAATATGTATATCCTGAGGAAACTATCACATATTTAAAAGTATTGAATGCTATGCTTCATATTGACTGTAATGTGGGAGTGCAGAAGAATTTTAATAATTTTAAACATACTTCGTCCTCTTAAGATGCTTAGAAATTGGAAAAAGTCAACAAATATAAGTGAGAGAATAATCAAATGCACAGCTGTGTACAGTGGAAATACCAAGAAGGAAGAGAGCAGTGTACTTTTAAGGAGTTTAGAAAGTTCTCATGGAATTGTTGGCATTTGAGCGGGTCCTTGAAGAATGGACAAGACTTAAATGTGCAAAGAAAATGGAAGAGTAGGACCTGAGCCCAAGGCACAGAAGTGGGAATGTGGGTGTCATATGAAGAGACCTTCCTGGATGAATTGCAGAGTTTGGAAAAGCGTAAATAAGCCACATTTGCCTACAAAGCAAGCTTCAATCCATATGCAATGTGCAGAAGAGTTAAAGTAAAAAATAAAAGTCCTCATCCCCCCAACAATCCCATTCACTAGAGGTAACTACTAGTAAGAATTTCATGTACATATTTTTCCAGAAATTGTATCATACTCTGCATACAGTTCTGCATCTTGATTTTAGTCACTTAGCAGTTCAGTGTTTTAAGACATCTCGTATCAGTACCTCTTGCTGTACCCCACTGGGTTTTTCTTCTGTGATTGGGTAGTTGTCAATCACAGTGAATGAATATATCATAATTTTGCATTTTCCAATTACTTGGTTGGCTTCAAGTTTTGTTGATTACAAAAAAAAAATTCTGAAAACCTATGCACATCCTCCTATTCGCTTATGCGAATATATCTATGGGATGTATTTTTAGAAATTGCTCTGCCAAATTACATTTTAAATTTAAGCATTACCAGTTGCTCATCAGGAGGGTTATATCATTTTTAAGTTCTCTCCAACAGTATAGGAAAATACCTGTTTACATGAATGCTTATAAACCTGTATTCATTCACTGTTTAATTAAGAGTAGCCTTGCCAAGCACAGTGGCTCAAGTCTGTAATCCCAACACTTTGGCAGGCTAAGGAGAGTGGATTGCTTAAGCCCAGGAGTTCGAGACCAGCCTGAATAGCATAGGTAGACCCCCGTCTTTACAAAAAATAGAAAAATTAGCCGGGCGTGGTGGCGCACACCTGTAAGTCCCAGCTACTCGGGAGGCTGAGGCAGGAGGATTGCTTGAGCCCAGGAGGTTGAGGCTGTAGTGAGCCATGACAGCACCACTGCACTCTAGCCTGGGGGACAGAGCGAGACCCTGTCTCAAAAAAAAGTCATCTTATTAGTAATAATATTCATTGTTACTAATCTTCTCTGTGAAAAAATAGCTTCTAGGTTGTTCTCATTTTTGTTTGTTGGTTGGTTTGTTTTTTGAGCCAGGATCTCACTGTATCGCCCAGGCTGGAGTGCGATGGTGCTATCATGCCTCATTGTAGCCTCAACCTCCCTGGCCTGGCCCAAGGGATCCTCCTGCCTGGCTAATTTTTAAATTTTTCTATACATACAGGGCAGAGGTTGTGGGGGGTGGTGTTCACTTTGTTGCCCAGGTTGATCTTGAACTCCTGGGCTCAAGCAATCTTCCCACCTCGGCCTCCCAAAGTGCTTCCATTATAGGCATGAGCCACCATGCCCAGCTTCTAGTTTTGTATGTAATTATGAGTGAGGTTGAACAACTTTCTTTTTCTATTAAGCTTCCTGTTTATATCTTTTGCCACTTTTCTCTTAGATTATATTTGTATTGTGATTTTGTGGGAGTTTATTGTATATTTAGGAAATTAACCCTTCATGTGTACTGCTGTAGTTTTTCTCAGTTTGTCATTTGTTTGTATAGCCGTTTATTTATTTTCATAGTATGGTAAATTTTAACCCGTTATGAAGCCAGATTTATTTGGGTTTTTTTCTTTATGACTTCTGTTTTCGGTTAGGCTTAAGAAGGCCTTACCCACTCTCAGATTCTAAAAATATGTTTTTCTTCTAGTAATTTATTATATTTTAATATTTGAAATTTGCTTCATCTATTATTCATTTTAAAGTAAGTGGTGATGGCCGGGCACAGTGGGTCACGCCAGTAATCCCAGCACTTTGGGAGGCGGAGGCGGGCGGATCACCTGAGGCCAGGCTGGCCAACATGGTGAAACCCCATCTCTACAAAAGTACAAAAATTAGCTGGGCATGATGGCGGGTGCCTGTAATCCCAGCTACTTGGGAGGCTGAGGCGGAGGCTGCAGCAAGCCGAGATCGTGCCATTGCACTCCAGCCTGGGCGAGACAGTGAGACTCCATCTCAAAAAAAAAATGTAAGTGATGATGTCAGAATGCAATTTCCCCACAAATAATTAGCAAATTTTCACAACAATTTTGAATCATCCTTTTCCCCCACTGATTTGAAATGCCACTGATATTTCTATTTCTGTTCAGTACCAAGCTATTTTGGTTAACTGTAGTTTCGAAATTTAATAACTGGTAGGGCTGGTCTCATTCTTCTGTCTCAGGTTTTTCCAAAGTACTCTCATCCCTTGGTCTGTGGGGAACCGGTCCTAGGACCTCTCTCATATACCAAAATCCACAGACGCTCAAGTCCCTGGTATAAAATGGTATAGAATTCACATATAACCTATGCACATCCTCCTGTATGTTTTAAATCATCTCTAGATTACTTAGATGAGACTATCTAATACTATGTAAATAGTTATACTGTATTGTTTAGGAAATAATGACATTTTTAAAAGTCTGTAC
This sequence comes from Homo sapiens, assembly GCF_000001405.40. NCBI lineage: Eukaryota > Metazoa > Chordata > Mammalia > Primates > Hominidae > Homo > Homo sapiens. The sequence goes on along the minus strand of NC_000001.11, from coordinate 231,329,336 downwards.
ATGTTCAGTACAGACACAGTCTTTTTGAAGTATTTTTTATCCCTCCTTTGTTGAATCCATGGATGCAGAACCCATGGATATGAAGGGCTGACTATATTCTCACAGTTATATTCAAGTTGTATTTTGAATGATTTTATGACAATCTTTTACCAAAGGGCCAACTGTATTCTCATGTTTATTATTCAAGTTGTATGACAATTTCATATCAGCCCCCCAGAGAGTTGGCATTTGGATTGAAATCATACTGAGTCTCTAGATTAATTTAGGGAGAAGTGACATCTTTATAATTTTGAATCTTCCTATCCATGTATATGCGAGTGTTTTGTATTTCAGTGGCATTTTCAAATTTTCTTCAGGTAGGTCTCTTAGTGTTTATTCCAAAGCATGTCATCTGTTAATGCTTTTGTGAATGAAATGTTTACCTCCATTATGTTTTCTGATTGTACATAGGAAACATCCTGATTTGAATTACAAATATTGTAACCAGTGCCTTATCTAATTATTTTATGAATTTTAATAGTTTTCTGGTTGTTCTTTGGAGTTTTCAAGTGCACAATTATATAAATTGCAAATAAAGATCATTTTACCTCTTCTCATTTTCATACATCTTATATAGTTCTCTTAATAGTCTACGTTAAGTTAAACATCCAAAACTATGTTATATAATATTTTTTTGCTCGGTATTCCTGGGAACATTTTTCCTATTTTGCCTTGAAACATGATGCTGGCTTTTGATCATCGTGTAAAGGAAAAGGTCATCTATTCCAGTTAACTGAGATTTGTGGGTTTCATCTCTTTAGTTCAGGAATGCATATTGAATTGTCAAGTGACTCTCAGCGCTTATTGAGCAAATCATTATTTTTCTCTTCCACCATATTAATGTGGTGTTTAAAACAGTTTTAACACTGAATCACAGTTACACTCTATGAGTTAGTTTTATTTGGTTGTAATATATTATTAATATATTGCCCAATTCCAATGAATATTTCATTAGGATTTTTGCATTGATATTATCAGTATTGGTCTGTGGTTGTGTGTGCACTACATTTGTCAGGCTTTTATCATTCACCAAAAGACTTGTTTTAAAGGTATGTGGAGCATAATAATAATGCTGAAATGGTAAGACACATTCCCATTTATTTTGATTCCTAAACAATCAGAATGAAAAAATACAGTATGGTACAGGTGACTTGTATCACTTCAAACCATAATTAGCCACTCTAAGCTTCGGGACAGTGTAAGTTCTTCCCAAAAAGAGATAAACAGGCATTCTATTGAATCTCATCCCCGTTTCAGACTATATCAGTGCTTGTATGGGATGTGGAAGATGTTTTTGTATGTCACGTGTATTCTGTATTTATTGAGATATGTGTTATACACACAGAGAATATTTGCATTTTTTGTATTCCCAGCAGCTTCCCTAGAGCAGTGTTGGGCATAGCACAATTGATAAACGCTAATTGAATTAATACCATTAGATGTATTGCTTTAATAACTAATGACAGTTCTCATTTATTGGTGCTTAGCTTGCACCAGACGCTTTACACACATTATCTCATTTAATCCTCACACTAACCATGGAAAATAGGTGATGCTATGCCCATTTAAAGATAAGGAAAGAGGCTGGGCATGGTGGCACACGCCTGTAATCCCAGCACTCACGGAGGCCAAGATGGGCAGATCACTTGAGGTTAGGAGTTCAAGACCAGGCTGGCCAACATGGTGAAACCCCATCTCTACTGAAAATACAAAAATTAGCCAGGTGAGGTGGCAGGTGCCTGTAATCCCAGCTACTCAGGAGGCTGAGCCATGAGAATCACCCGAACCCAGGGGAGGAGGCTGCAGTGAGACAATATCTCGCCACTGCATTCCAGCCTGGGCGACAGAGTGAGACTCTATCTCTAAATAAATAAATAAAAATAAAGATAAGAGACTCAGAGGGATTGCTATTTGGCCACGGTGTCTTGCTGCTGAGTGGCAGAGCCAGTATTCAAGACCACGACCCTGTTCAACTCCAAAGCCCATGTTCTTTTCACTCTGTCTTTAAACAATTATGTATAAGCACCATATTTCATATCAGTGCTTCTAAGTAAATATCCGGAGAACATTTTCTTGATGTTCTCAATTAGTAGGAATCAGAATCTTTGTCATGAAAAACTATGACAAATAATCTGTGAGCCCTCACTGGAGGGATCATTTGTCAATGACGATGATGCTCCTAGCAGTGGTGCATGTTTATCAGATTATTTTATTTAATCTTCATGTCAACGCTACCAAGGAATTGAAGTTTTGTGAAGGTAAATAAATTGCAAGCAATCCACTTGCAAAGGGTCGCCTAAGTAAGTACCCAAGCAACATCTGAACTCAGACAGCCTTCCTCTAAGGCTAGTATTATTAGGCACTGAATTATATTATTGGATTATAATATTATAATGTTGACACCTCATTAGTACAGATTGATCTTTATTTCAAAGTCATATCAATCCACAATTTTAGGTACCCTGTTAAAAGTACAGGTACTGTATTACCACATTTTAGAGAGTATTTTTTGTGGTTTTCCTTAAAAAAAAAAATAAAGTAGCCAAGTTGAAGTTTATGAGAGAATTAAAACCAAATTATCTCCACTAATACCAATCAGTACATCACTGAATTCTGAGCAATCGGGAATACTAAGTAGATTCTCAAACGTGCAGAAACTTCACTGGGCATTAAGACAGGAATAACTTAGCTCCTGCAATAGGTGGGTGAAATTCCTAAAAACTGAGTGTGAGTGACATTTAAATAGGAAAGCTGCAGGAAAAGAGCATGTTTTTTTTTCTCATGTCGTATTTGATCAGTTGGCCTAATAAGTTGGCTTAGTTTCAAATCTATTAGTTTACCTTGCTAAACACATTAAACAAAGTTGTACAAGTCAAGCCAGTCTTGGTAAGTCTCTTAAAGTTATCTGTGTACATATTCTCATTGCTGGTAGGAATTTTGTAATTTTGAATTCTGTAAACTGGCACACCTCTTGTGGATGGCAATTGGTAATATTCATTAAAGTTACAAAATGTACAAAATTGTAGTTCTTTGACCCAGAAATCCACTTCTGGGAATTTATCCTGCAAATACATTTGTGTACTTCATACATGAAATGTGTTCATTAAACAAATGTGTATGATTTATGAAGATGTTTTATTGCAACATTTTTTCTTTTTAATTAAATAGTTTTAATTGGGAAGCCTCCTGAGCCAAAGTAGGCTCACAGACTTTGTGCAGCATTTTTTGTCACAGCAAAAGATTGGAAATTACCCAAAGGTGTATCCATAGGAGATTTATTTAATAAACTTTGGTGCATGCATACAATGTAATACTATGCAGCTTAAAAATGAATGTGCCCTGTATGTACTGATGTGGCAAGATCTCTAAAATATGTTGTTAAATGGCAAGCAAGGTGCACAACAATAGTATAGTATGTTACTTTAGGAGTAGAAAAGGAGAAAATAAGATTGTAAGTAATATTTGTTTATACTTACATACAAATTCTGAACAGGTATCAGCAGGTAGAACTGAGTAGATGGGGAGAGGGATGGAAAAATGTGAATTTTCATTTAGAAAATGCTTGAATATATCACCCTTTAAAAACATGAAATAATAAATACACGTGGTGTCTTAAAAATAAGACTTACTCTTTCCATTTTGTAATGTGTCTTTCTGCCACTTTTTTTCTATATGTATGTGTTAATTTGGAGAATACATATTTTTAAAGATTTTTTATTTGGAAAAATTTCAACATATAAAAAGGAACATAATGATATAATAAATCCCTATATACCCATTACCGAGCTTCAACAATTCTCAGTATTTTGTCATTATTATTTCAACTATACCTAACAACTCTCCACCCCATCCCCACTGGGGTTATTTTTTGCAATTTTTTTGGAACATAAACTTTACACACATTGAAATGAACACATCTTAGCTCTCCAATTTTGAAAAAGGGATCTACTCCATGTAACAACACCCAGTCACTATATAGGACATTTTCATCTCTCCAAATAGTGATGGTGTTACTGTTCTGTATATGTCTGTTCTAGTTATTATATAAAACTTTTTCCCCTGGCTTCTCTTTTGGAAAAAAGAAATCATGTTTTCATTCATAATTGTGAGTTGTAACACTTAGGCAGAGACCCTGAGCTATATCAAAGGAAATGTTAGTCACATTTCTGCAATTCTAGAGTTCCAGCCCTTGCTATGTGGTGTTAAGCTGGGAAAGGTGCTATGGGAATTTGGGTGTGGTGGAGGCTCTGTTCTTTCTTCAGAAGCTCCTAACTTGTGTCACAAGATGAAACCTCTAAGATTGCACTGTCAACATGGAAGCCACGTGCAATTTTAAAAATTTTAAGTTAATTATCAATTAAATGGAAAGTTTAAATGCAGCTCCTCAGTTACACTAGTCCCATTTCAAGTGCCCAGTAGCCACCTGTGGCTAGTGACTACCATACTGCACAGCACAGATTTAGAACATTGCCATCGCCAAAAAACATTTCACTGGATGGCTTACCTAGGTTGCGAAGGAAGATGGGACCTCAAAGAGGCGGAAAGTGAAGTTTGCAAGGTGCAGAACTGTAATCATGAAAAATGTTGAATGTTTTACCTTTGCCTCAAGAGTACTGTTCCACCGCTGTCATTTTCTCTCCTTTTAAAAGAATCATTTCTCACTTCATGGTTTATTTTCTTTTTACCTACAGTTTCATTCACTTTTTTATTGTTCCAGTGTTTCATTCTCTTATTCTCTTCTTTCTCTTGCTGTTTCTTTTTTCATTTAATATGATTTATTGATTAGCAAGAGAATTTTGCTTCTGGTTATGGTGGCCTAGGCATTTCTGACCAATCCTTCCCTGAGAACAATTAGAACTACTTTACACATTATATATGCAAAGAATATATCTGAAGGCTGCAGTAGAATAAAAAATATATCTGGTCTTTTTTCTTGGTTTCTGGCATAGAACTTCAAAAAACCTTGGCATTTCCTGAATGATGTTTTTGTTATGCTAATAAGGTGACTCCTATTTGGGCCCCTAGATATCTTCAGGATTGGGGCTGGTCACCAGAAAATTGACCATATAATCATGGAAGTGGAATGTTAATTTCCTGCCCCGCTTCCCCCCACCACCACAGAAGAGATGGAGAAACTGTAGGTTGAATTTTATCACTTGCCTAATGATTTAATCAAGCATGCCAATGTAATGAAACCTCAATAAGAACTGTACATCGAGGATTGGGTCGCTTCCTGGTTGGTGAACATATTGATGTACTGGGAGGATGGCACACCTGGACTCCACAGGGACAGTCTCCTGTTTCCCCCACCCCCTCCAGATCTTACCCTATGCATGCTCCACTTGATTGTTCCTGAGTTGTATCTTTTACAATAAAAGCTGTAGCTATAAATATAGCACTTTCCTGTGTTCTTTGAGTCATTCTAGGAAATTATCAAACCTTGGAGAGGGAGAGGGAGTGTCATGGGAAGCCCCAAATTTATACCCTGATGGGCAAAAGTGTACGTGGCTTTGGGACACCCCAGGACTTGTGACCTGCATCTGAAGTGGGGGCAGTCTTATGGGATTGAAACCCTTAACCTGTGGGGTCTTGTTCCCCATGGCAAATCCATATGAGTCTGCAGCAACCTCAATTCTTGCCTCCTCAGACAAAAAGAAGTTGACTGCGGGACATAAGGCAGGAGGAGAGACTGAGGCCAGTTTTAGAGCAGGAGTGAACGTTTATTAAAATGCTTTAGAGCAGGAAGGGAAGTAAAGTATGCTTGGAAAAGGGCCAAAGACACGACTTGAGAGATCAAGAGCACCGTCTGACCTTTTGACTTGGGGTTTTATTCATTGGCATGCTTCCTGGGTCTTGCGTCCCTTCTCCCGATTGTTCCCTTGGAGTGGGCTGCCTGCATGTGCAGTGGCCTCTAGCACTGGGGAGGTGAGCATGCGCAGTGTGTTCACTGGGGCTGTATACATGCTCCCTTGAGGCATTCTTCCCTTACCAGTGGGATGCCCCTAGAAGGTCATATACCAGTTAAACTCTGCCATTTTTCCTTTTCGGGTGCATGCTTGAGCCAACCTGCCCTACCCCTGAGATCTTATCGGGAAGCTGCTGATCAGTTTCAGGTGTTTGTGTCTAGTGGTAGACACCTGTTCCCTGGGGCCAACTGCAACCAATTATTATTTTAGAGAGACATCAAGGGAATTTGGGATTGCTAGTGCCTCTGGTGGTCTACCTCACCACTGCACTCCAACCTGGGTGACAAAATGAGATGTTGTCTTTAAAAATAAAATTAAATTTAAAAAAGAAAATAATAAAAACAAAAACATATAAGTCAGGAGAGAAGTACATAAAATTCAAGTGATTTAAGTTCTTGCATTGCCTGTGAAGAGGTAAACTACTTATTTATACTCTAATAAGTCAAGGTTCACATTGTAATCTCTAGGGGAATTACTAACAGAATGTTTGTTTGAAACAAAGTCTCACTCCGTCACCCAGGCTGGAGTGCAGTGGCGCCATCTTGGCTCACTGCAACCTCCACCTCAGGGCTTCAAGCAATTCTCCTGCCTCAGCCTCCTGAGTAGCCGGGATTACAGGCATGCGCCACCATTCCTGGCACATTTTTGTATTTTTAGTAGAGATGGGGTTTCACCATGTTGTCCAAGTTGGTCTTGAACTCCTGACCTCAAGTGATCTGCCCACCTCAGCCTCTCAAAGTACTGGGATTACAGGCATGAACCACCACTCTAGCCAATTTTTTTTTTTAATGTTTAACTACAGATATAGCAGTGTTCATGCACCATTATTTGTAATACCCAAAAGGTAGAAACAACTTGTGTCCATTAACAGATGAATGGAGAAACAAAATGTAGTTTTGTTTCATAAAAAACATAAAAAGACATACAATAAAACATGAATAAACATTAAAAACATAATGCTAACAGAAGTAAACCAGGCCAGGTGCAGTGGCTCACGCCTGTAATCCCAGCACTTTGGGAGGCCAAGGTGGGAGGATCACTTGAGGTCAGGAGTTCTAGACCAGCCTGACCAACATAGCGAAACTCCATCTCTACTAAAAATACAAAAAAATTAGCTGGGCATGATGGTGGGCACCTGTAATCCCAGCTACTCAGGAGGGCGAGGCAGCAGAATCACTTGAACCTGGGAGGCATAGGTTGCGGTGAGCAACATTGCACTCCAGCCTGGGCAGCAGAGTGAGACTCCATCTCAAAAAAAAAAACAACAACAAAAAAAACAAAACGTAAACCAAACACAAAAGCACAAATATTGTGTGATTCCACTTATATGAAATTTCTACAATAGGCAAATCCATACAGACAGAAAGTAGATTAAAAGTTAGCAGGGGATGGCCAGGCACGGTGGCTCACACCTGTAATCCCAGCACTTTGGGAGGCCGAGGCAGGCGGATCACGAGGTCAGGAGACCGAGACCATCCTGGCTAACACGGTGAAACCACGTCTCTACTAAAAATACAAAAAAAATTAGCCGGGCGTGGTGGCGGGCACTTGTAGTCCCAGCTACTCGGGAGGCTGAGGCAGGAGAACAGCGTGAACCCGGGAGGCAGAGCTTGCAGTGAGCCGAGATCCCGTCACTGCACTCCAGCCTGGGCTACAGAGCAAGACTTCGTCTCAAAAAAAAAAAAAAAAAGTTAGCAGGGGGACGGGGGAAGTTAGCTAGATGGGAAGTTATTGTTTAATTGTTACAGAGTTTCTGTTGGGATGATGAAAAAGTTTTGAAAGTAGATAATGGTGATGGTTGTACAACACCGTGAATGTAATTAATGTCACAATTTAAAAATGCGTAAAATGGAAAATTTTATGTATATTTTACCACAATCGAAAAAAATTGGGCTGAGCACAGTGGCTCATACCTGTAATCCTAGCACTTTGGGAGGCTGGGGTGGGTGGATTGCTTGAGCTCAGGAGTTCGCGACCTGCCTGGGCAACATGGTGAAACCCCGTCTCTAATTAAAAATATATATATATTAATAGTGTAAAATAACAAAACCTGTTGATTGTATACTTTAAACAGGTTGCAGCCATTAAAAAAAGATGAAATCATGTCCTTTGCAGCAACATGGATGCAGCTGGAAGCCATTATCCTAAGCAAATTAATGCAGGAACAGAAAATCACATACTGTATGTTCTCACTTATAAGTGGCAGCTAAACACTGGGTACTCATGGACAGAAAGATGGCAGCAACAGACACTGGGGACTACTAGAGGGGGAAGGATGGGAGGAGCCAAGCACTGAAAAACTAGCTATTGGGTACTATACTTACTACCTGGGTGACAAGAGCAATCATACCCCAGACCTCAGCATCATGAAATATACCCAGGTAACAAACCTACACATGGACCCCATGAATCTAAAATAAAAGTTGAAATTATTAAAAAGGCAAAAATAAAAAAATAAAATCCAGGTAATTGTAAGTATATAAATTATATCTTAATAAAGCTGTTAAAAATGTTTAATTAATCAGTTAATAGATGGGGGAAAATGAAACAGTAAAAATTATCCAGTCAATCCCAAAGTAAAAATGAAATGAGACAGGCCGGGTGCAGTGGCTCATGCCTGTAATCCAAACACTTTGGGAGGCCGAGGCAGGCGGATCACAAGGTCAGGAGTTCCAGACTAGCCTGGCCAACATGGTGAAACCCTGTTTCTACTAAAAAATACAAAAATTAGCCGGGCGGGGTGGCGGGCACCTGTAATCCCAGCTACTCAGGAGACTGAGGCAAGAGAATTGCTTGAAACTGGAAGGTGGAGGTCACAGTCAGCCGAGATCACACCACTGCACTCCAGCCTGGGCAAAAGAGGGAAACTCCGTCTCAAAAAAAAAAAAAAAAGAAATGAGACAAAACTAAACATAAAAGGGGTAGAACAAATCAAAGTAAATAGTAAGATGGAAAATTTAAACCTGAACATATTATTAATTATGTTAAATATAAATGGATCAAGATCCCTAAATGAAATATACAGGTTTTTGAACTGGATAACAACATAAATAACAGTCATATGCTGCTTATGAGCATAACATCTTGAACACAAAGCTATATAAAGAATAAAACTTTACAAATGGAAAAAGATATACTATGCAAACACCAATCAAAAGAAAGCTAGTATAGCCATAATGATATCAAATAAAGATGGATGTTAAGGCAAAAAGCGTAACTTGGAATTATGTGAATCAGCTGGGCATGGCAGCACACACCTGTAGTCCCAGCTACTTGGGAGGCTGAAGTGTGAGGATTGCTTGAGCCCAGAAGTTTTTGAGGCCAGCCTGCACAACACAGTGAGACCCCCATCTGTAAAACAAACAAAATATATTTTAACTAAAAATGGTCCACAACTCTAAAAGAAACAGACAAATTCACAAGAATAATGGGACATTTTAATACTCCTTTTCAGTAATTGTTAGAACAAGCAGTCAAAAAATGAGTAGGGATATGGAATTGTGCTGTACAAGCCACCATGCCTGGCTAAGTTTTAAAAAATTTTTGTAGAGACAGGGTCTTACCATGTTGCCCAGGCTGGTCTCGAATTTCTGGGCTCAAGCAATCCTCCTGCCTCAGCCTCCCAAAGTGCTAGGATTACAGGCATGTGCCACTGTGCCCAATCTTCAAAAAGTTTTGAAATATTAAAAGGTTTATAAAGTACAACAGTTACAGTAAGCTAAGGTGAATTTATTAATGAAGAAAATTTTTAAAATAAATTGAGCATAGTCTAAGCAAACAGTGTCTCTAAGGTCTCCCATAGTGCACAGTAGCGTCCTAGGCCTTCACATTCACTCACCACTCACTCGCTGACACCCAGAGCAACTTCCAGTACTGAAAGCTCCATTCATGCTAAACGCTCTATATAGGTGATGATTTTTCATCTTTTATACCATATTTTCACTGTTATCTTTTCTATGTTGAGATATGTTTAGATACAGTTACCCTTGTGTTACAGCTGCCTGCAGTCCTCAGGACAGTCCCTAGGATTGTAGGGACTGTGCAGGATTGTAGCCTAGGAGTGACGGGCTGTACCACGTAGCCCGAGTGTGCAGTAGGCCACAGCATCTAGGTGTGCGTAATTACTCTCTATGATGTTCCCACTACCACGAAATCGCCTAGCAATGCACTTCTCAGAATGTATCCCCGTTGGTAATCAATATGTGACTGTACTTCGGACAAACATAAATACCCCAAACTAATACTACAAAGTAATCCCACTTCCAGGCTCAAAGCCTGCGGGATATGCAGGCTTTTCTGTTGCTCCCACCTATATCTAGAACTGGCAAGAGAAGGAGAGACAAGCCCGCCTGGCCAGGCACAGCCTGAAGCCCAAGTTTATTGGGAATAAAGTTATTTGTATTCCCATCCACTTGCCTCTTGTGTCTACTTCCCAATCAGTTCCAAATGTAAGGAAGGAGCAGGGCCTGGTTAAATATCATCAACCCCAGCCTTAGCTTCTGTCATGGCTGGGGACACTGCCCCAAGACCAGTACGGAGGCCGGGGGCTTCCCCCGGTCATTAGTCACAGGAACAGATGAGAAGCTGCTGAGTTGTCCCTCTTGCCCATCCCAGCAGCACCTTCAGATTCCACGGGTCTCTGTGCTAAGCTATGGAGGCTATAGCTTCTGAGCCCATCTGTGTTTGTGGCTCATTGACCTTTTGCAAGATTGCACCCCTCTGGGGTTTTGCTCTCCCTCTGCCCTGAAGAGAACTTCCTTACTAGATTGGGAAGGCTTCACGCCCTCCTGCTCCCTCTGCCTCCTCCTGCAAATCCTACCCTGGCTTGGGCTTCAATCATTGAAAACAAAAGTCTGAGAGGGAAACATTTTGCTGGTGATTTCTTGCTTGCTGCCCCGCTGCCAACTTTTGAGACAAAAAAACAAAGCTTGTTTGAACTGTGAAAAAAGGTAAAGAAAAATGTAAGAAGAAAAATAACACAAACATCAGGAAATACTATTCATCTACACATGTAATAGGTATACAGCTGACTTTTGAACAATGCCGGGGTTGTGGGCACTCACCACTCATGCACTCGAAAATCCACCTTTAACTTTCAACTCCCGAAAAATTTCCCTACGGATAGTGTGGCCATAATTGGTGGGTTCTTGGCCTCTGACTTCAAGAATGAAGCCGCGGACCCACGGACCCTCGCGGTGAAAGTTACTGCTCTTAAAGTCGGCGCGTTGGGAGTTGTTCATCCCTCCCCATAGGTTCGTGGTCTCGCTGACTTGAAGAGTGAAGCTGCAGACCTTCCCGGTGAGTGTCCACAGCTCACAAACGCCACGCAGACCCAAAGAGTGAACTGCAGCACGATTTGCTGCAAACACCGAAAGAACAAAGCCGCCACAACGTGGAAGGAAACCCCAGCAGTTTACCTCTGCTGGCCAGGGTGGCCTGCGTTTATTCCCTTATCTGGCCCCGCCCACATCCTACTGATTGGTCCATTTTACAGAGAGCTGATTGGTCCATCTTACAGAGAGTTGATTGGTCCATTTTGACAGAGCGCTGATTGGTGCATTTACAAACCTTTAGCTAGACACAGAATGCTGATTGGTGCGTTTACAATCCTTTAGCTAAACAGAAAAGTTCTCCAAGTCCCCACCTCTCCTAGAAGCCCAGCCGGCTTCACTTCTCACTGGCACTTGCCACGGGACTTTGTGGCACCTAGCCTGGGCACTCTGGCAGCCCAGAGGGAGCTCATCCCCAAGTCAAGCCCAGCAGGCGCCGGCTGGCCGCGCCCAGTGCGGGGTCCCCCAAGCCCGCGCCCATCCAGAACCCGTGCCGGCCCGCGGGCGCCGCGTGCAGCCCCAGCTCCCGCAGGCGCCTCTCCCTCCACACCTCCCCGGAAGCAGAGGGAGCCGGCTCCGGCCTCGGCCAGCCCCAGAGACGGGTCCCCACAGCTCAGCGACGGGCTGAAGGGCTCCTCGAGCGTGGCCAGAGCGGACTCCGAGGCCGAGGAGGCGCCGAGAGCGAGCGAGGGCTGCTGGCAGGTTGTCACCTCTCAATAGCCTGCTGTTGACCAGAAGCCTTACCAATAACATAAACAGCTAATTATCACATATTTTGTATGTTATATGTATATATGTTATAAGAATACAGTATGTATAAGAATATGAATACATATATGTATACATCATGCATAAGAATACATACTGTATTATAATAAACTAGAGAAAAGAAAATATTACTAAGAAAATCATAAGAAAAGAAAATGCATTTCCTATTCATTAAGTGGAAGTGGATCATCCTAAAGGTCTTCATCCTCCTCATCCTCACATTGAGTAGCTGAGGAGTAGGAGGAAGAACAGGAGGTGGAGGAGGAGGAGTTGGTCTTGCTGTCTCAGGGGTGGCAGAGGTGGAAGAGATGGAGGGGATGGAAAGGGAGGCAGGAGAGACTTACTGAAAAAAGTTCGAGTATAAGTGGACCCATGCAGCTCAAACCTATGTTGCTCACTGGTCAATTGTGTATAATGGGCCTCACCAGGATTTTAAATAAAGAGAGAAACAGAAAAAAAGGAGAAAGAGAAAAATATGTGTGAGAGAGAAGATAGACAATGGACTTCAGTGAAAAACAAAAATGGCTGGGCACGGTGGCTCACGCCTGTAATCCCAGCACTTTGGGTGGCCGAGGCGGGCGGATCACCAGGTCAAGAGATCAAGACCTTCCTGACCAACATGGTGAAACCCTGTCTCTACTAAAAATGTATAAATTAGCCAGGCATGGTGGCGTGTGCCTGTAATCCCAGCTACTCGGGAGGCTGAGGCAGGAGAATCGCTTGAACCTAGGAGGCGGAGGTTGCAGTGAGCCGAGATCACGCCACTGCACTCCAGCCTGGCGACAGAGTGAGACTCCGTCTCAAAAAACAAAACAAACAAAAATGTGTAGTCGCAGCTTGAACCTCTAGCAGCCTCATTACGAGAACCTTAGAGCTGTATCCCAGGGCTGTTCCCTTTCTAGTAGGTTGCAGGGCAGCTCACGTGACCCTTGGATAGCTGCTGTTGCTCTTTTTTTTTTTTTTTTTTTTTTGGTAGAGATGGGTCTCACTATGTTGCCCAGGCTGGTCCCAAACTCCTGGACTTAAAGGATCCTCCAGCCTCAGTCTCTCAAAGTGCTGGGATTACAGGCTGAGCGCCTGCGCCTGCGCCTGGCCACTGTTTTTGCTCTTGGTAGCCACCTCTATTTCCTGGGCCCATCGGCGGCCCATCCCCCTGTGGTTTTCTGGCTCAAGACCAGACTCCCTCCAGCCCTCCCTGGGCTCTGCTTTCTCCCTTCCCCTCTTTGCCGGTTGAGCGTCGCTGGCGCCACCCAGTGGCCCCCATGACCCCTGCTTCAGTGCCACGGAAGGCCCAGAAGGCTCATTGCTACCAGTCCCCGTCTCAAGTACCAGAGTGACATGATGGACCCCTTACTGAGCTTGACCACCTACCCTGTCTCCTTTCATTCTCATTGCAGCCCAAGACACGGGGTTTTGCATCCATTTGGCAGATAGGAACACAGAGGCATCAAGCTGTGATAAGACTTTGCTTACAGTCAGAAAGGTAGCCGGCACTGGGGCTGGGCTTCCAGCCCTTCCTCTGACCCAGCTGCACACATGGTCCTTACGAAGAGGATGGCAGCACTTTGCTTGTTGTTTTATTTGCATAACTCTCTGAACCCAAGCTTAGACATAACCAAGCAACACATTCTATACTATACATTTGCTATTCCCAAAGACACAGCTTAATTCCAAATAAGTGATCAACTAAGATAATTTTCTAAATGTATTACAGACTTAAATCTTAAGACATCAAACTATGAAACTACTGCAAGAAAACACTGGGAAACCCATCTAGGCCATTGGTCTGAGCAAAGAATTATTGAGTAAGCAGAAGCAATCAAAGCAAAAAATGGACAAATGGAGTCACATCAAGGTAAAAAGAGACTAAGGTGGGAGGATCACCTGAACCCAAGACTTCAAGGTTGCAGTGAGCTATGATTGTGTCACTGTACTCCAGCCTGGGTGACAGAGAGAGACCCTGTCTCTTGTGTGCAAGTGCCACAAAGAAGTTGATGTAACCACTGATCCAGGTTCCCTTGGTAAAGGTGAACTTGAAATTTAGGTTTCCTGAAGTTAAGGCCCATGGAAATATTTTCCTATACAGGAAAAAAAAAATCAATCAAAGAAGAAAGGTGTAAAAGTAAAGTATCAGCCAAGAAGGATGGCCAGCCTTTGCCATGTTGTTGTCCCTGCAGTTCATGGGCAGGGTGAGGAAAACCTCCCTCCACAGTAACTGATATGATCAGCTCTTTCAGATTCCCGGGAAGTATGCATGAGGCCTAATTAATTTACTTTTAAAAATATAAAACTCATTAAACAATAGCACTTCGTCTGAATTTGTGCTAATTATACTTCAATGAGATTATTGTTATACCATGTTGAAGATGATTTTCCAACTGAAAGTATTATGTGAATGAGATTATAGGAATCATGCTTTACCTTCTTAGGAACAAACGAAAAACTATTTAAAAAATTGTTAAACTTTCATATATATTGCTAATTATAAGGATGATAACTCATCTGAAAGCACTAGAAATACTACAAGCTAGAAACATTAGAAGTACTTTGAGTTACAGAATTGACACCAAACTATAATCAATTAAGAATAATTATTATAGATCTAATGCTTTTTTAAAACCAAACATTCATTTTGAATTTGAACATGTGATTTTCAGTGACCATTGAATCTATCTGCTTTGCTTCTTTCAGTTCACCATCCACTGCTGCAAACGTTGCGATTATACTGATGATTGGTACAGGTATAAAAGGAATTTCAAAAACCCCTACGTTGATTTACACGAAAGTTTAGAAAATGTGCTCAACAGTGAAGCTTTCTTCCATATTCTGGAAAACTGGTTCCATTTTGGAATATCCAAACCATCTCCACTCAGGCCACACTGCCTTGCACAAGAGAGGTGCTTCATAAATATTTATGGTGACAAGACCCAAAATGTTGAGCCCATGAGCCCTAGGTGGTTTTTATCTTAAAAACCTAGTGTAAAATGGGTTAACCTGGGAGGGCTGTCTTACTGAGGAGCGCTAAACTAAGGAGAAACCTCAAATCACTCTATATTTGACCCAAACACCTTAAATGGCTTCCCAGTGTATTCTAGGGCACTTGCTTCTCAAATCTTCAACAGCAAAGGAGTCACTTGGGATTCCTGCCTAGTGTAGATTCTGATGCTGCAGCTCTGGGATAGGGCTATGATTTTGCTTTTTGACAAGCTCCTAGTTGATGCTGATTCTTATGGTCTCCTAGTCTGCAGACCCTGCATTTTGAGTAGCAAGGCTGCAGAAAATAAGTGGCCTAGGCTGAATGTGGGGCACCCCGTTCCATGGCCAAGCCTGCTTGCCAGGATTCACCCCACCTCTGGATAGCTCTTCCCCATCTGTTATTTTCTTTTCACCTGGAGAAAAAACCCCGCTCCATGGATCTGAGGGTGTGGCACGTGGGATTTTCTGTAGCAAGCTCCAAGTTAGACCCCTACAGTGGTGGCACCCACCTGCAGTCTTAGCCACTACGAAGGGAACTTACATCTACAGGGACAAGACCCACCTCAATGAACAGGTATGTTTAACCACAAAGTCTTCAACATTTATTATACATTTCCACTGCCGTTACCTTGTTAAAGGACTCATTATTGGTTGTTATATACACGTGAAGAGTCAAAAATGGCTCAAGGTAGATAATGTTGTACAGAATCAGGAGCCCTTGGAGGCGCAGTGTTTCTTCACCTAAACTATCCAGTCCCAGAGGAGAAAGAGGAGAAAGCTCATGTACCAGTTAATATGGGTTGCAGAGTGAACCACAGTATCTTTAACTTTTCAAAATGGAAGACATTGAACATCATGTTGGCAACATGGTCTGTTAAAATACGATGATAACTGGCTGGGCGTGGTGGCTCACACTTGTAATCACAGCACTATGGGACGCCGAAGCAGGCGGGATCACTTGAGGTCAGGAGTTCAAGACCGGCATGGGCAACATGGTGAAACTCTGTCTCTACTGAAAATACGAATATTAGCAGGGCGTGGTGTTCGGTGCCTGTGGGCACAGCTACTCAGGAGGCTGAGGCAGGAGAATTGCTTGAACCCAGAAGGTGGAGGTTGCAGTGAGTCAAGATCGTGCCACTGCACTACAGCCTGGGTGACAGAGTGAGACTCCCTCTCAAAAAAGAAAAAAAAATGAAGATAATTAAGTGTTACAGGCTTTGTATTGGACTGTGCAGGTACATGTGCTCACGCACATACCCACAAATTAAACCTTAGTGGGCAAGGCGCAGTGGCCTACACCTATAATCCCAGGGCTTTCAGAAGCCGAGGCTGGTGGATTGCCTCTAGAGCTCAAGACCAGCCTGGGCAAGATGGTGAAACCCTGTCTCTACCAAAAAACACAAAAAGTAGCCAGGTGTGGTTGTGCACGCCTGTAGTCCCGGCTACCATCAGCCCTCCAGGCTCCTTATGCAGTTCAGAGACATGTGTTTGGAGGTAAGAAAGGCACGGACACCTGGTTTCAGGTGAATTTAAAAGGGAGCTATTCTGAAAGTCTCCATCTCGCAGGAGCTTCTTTCAGTGTGGCCAGGGCCCGCTAGGCTCTCACTGTCCTTTCCTCCATCTCCTCCCAGCCTCCCTGCACTTGCTGTCCTCCAGCCACTCCTTGCCATTTCTCCTCGAAGGCACGCTTCTGCCTCAGGGCCTTTGCACTTACTGTCTTGCCCCACAAATAGCCCTGTTGCTCACTCCCTCATATCCTCTGGTCTCTGCTCAGATGCTGCCCTATCAGAGAGACTCTCCTGACACAGCCACTCTCCCTCTTCTTTTTCTTTCAGGGCAGGGGCCCCTCCTGGCATCTTGCACATTTTAGCATTTGTTTCCTGTCTCTCCTCACTAGAATGCAAGCTGCAAGGGAACTGTATCCCTCGCGCCTGGTAAGTGCACAATGACCACTTTTTCAAGGACCACATTTCCATAATATTAAAATGTATTATGAAAGGGAACAGCAGTGACTTTTCCTGTAATCTGCACTGGCCACGTGTTGCATGAGCATGTGCCTCTACGTGTGTAATTGAGTCTCTCTGTGCCTCGCTTTCCTCATCTGTTAAGTGGGAATTACAATAGTATCACCCCCACAAAGTTATGGAAATTAAATCACAGGTGGGGATTGTGCCTGGCAGGCAGCAAACACTCGGTGAGTGTTAGCTATCTGATATTAACTATTATTTTGCTATGGAGATGGGTGGGGACCATATAAAAATGCAAAGCTTCAAAAGTTGACAACAACCCTCTCACTTGGGGGTCACACCTAATGTGTCATAAGATGGGCTTTGGATCTTCCAGATCTGAGCCGCCTTTGGGAGGGTGCCCTGAGGGGAAGCTAGGCACTCCTGCTCAGCATGATTGGCAAGGTCCTTATGCCAGTGCTAGTGCCCAGAAGGTGCAGGCAGTTCCAGCTGTTGCCACACATGGTGTCTAGACGACTGACCTATCAGGGCAGTGTCTGGGGTACCAGGGGTTGCAAGAGAACCAGCTTTTAAAAACATGCATTGACGATAAAATAGCAAGTAAAGACTAAAGTCTTCAGAACCCTTGTCTCAGAAGATTCTAGGCTAGATCCGAAGGTTCTGAAATAATGACTCAAGATTTGTCTTGCTTTAACTCATCCTGTTTCCATTTTCTTTACCAACTAGAAGTGATTTACCATGTAAGTACTTTTTCACTACTGTCTAAACTGATGCAGGTAACTAATATATCCTGAAACAATAAGTCACATGTGTATTACTTTAAAATAAAAGCAAAGATTCCTTTCTTATTTTTGTAATTAATAACATTCTTACGTGTCTGACCAGACTCCCCTTGAGAATTGCTCTCAGAACTACAGTCCTGTGGTAAATGAAAACACAGGACAGGAGATGCACACACTGAAAAAAGGATAAAATGATCATTTACAAATCAGATGTTTTTTGTAAAACAGATCCAAACTATCCAGATTTCTTTACATCGTCAATTTTCCTTGAGTCCACAACTAGCCTATTTCACATCAAAAGAGTCTGTTCTTCTTTGGAAATGTGTAAGAGACTTAAATTGTTTGAATTTGAGCTCAATTCAAGTCTGTCTTTAACATTTATGTATGTATATATCTATGTATGTATGAGACGGAGTCTACCTCTGTCACCCAGGCTGGAGTGCAGTGGCACGATCTTGGCTCACTGCAACTTCCGCCTCCTGGCTTCAAGAGATTCTCCTGCCTCAGCCTCCCCGAGTAGCTGGGACTACAGGCGGGTGCCTCCACGCCCAGCTAAATCTATTTGTATTTTTAGTAGAGACGGGGTTTCACCATGTTGGCCAGGCTGGTTTCGAACTCTTGACTTCAGGTGATCTGCCTGCCTCGGCCTCCCAAAGTGCTGGGATTACCGGCGTGAGCCACTGCGCCCGGCCTTTAATACTGATTTCATTTGGTGCCACCCAAGTCCTACCCAGCCTTGACTTGGCCCTGTTCCACAAGTCTTAGCCCTGTGCCTGCACATCTAGAAGGTTCACATGCACAAGTTCAATGATACAACAGGGCAGAAAGCTGCAGTGGGAATGCCATTTCTCCATTTCTCCATGACGGGGTAACGGGTTGGGGTTACCCCATCCCTAACCACCCCAGGCCCCACTGCCCACTCCCAGCCTCCTTTCCACCCTGAGAGCTCAGGGAGGGCATCTAACCTACTCCCCAATCTGTGAGTAGGACCTCCACTTCCAGAAGCACCCGGGATTTCTCCTAGCTAACCTCACAGATGCTCCCTTGGTATACTGCTGCCCAGCACAAGTTCATGGCCTCACTCCCACACCTCCCAGTTTCCCTGACATGACCCCACTCTCAACTCAGGCTCAGGATTAAGTAAGGAAATATAAGGACAATATTACCACTATTTTCAAATCTTTCCCTCCCTCTACATAACTATAAACAAACAGAACCAAAGGTCAGCAGAAGATACATGGAAGAAGAAAAGATTTGCGAATAACAATGAGAACAGCGATATTCGCAGCTAATAGCGGCTTTTAAAAAAGAGATGGGAGAGCCAAGCGCAGTGGCTCATGCCTGTAATCCCAGCACTTTGGGAGGCCGAGGCAGGCAGATCACC
Organism: Homo sapiens; assembly: GCF_000001405.40. NCBI lineage: Eukaryota > Metazoa > Chordata > Mammalia > Primates > Hominidae > Homo > Homo sapiens. The sequence goes on along the minus strand of NC_000001.11, from coordinate 231,310,124 downwards.
TGAGATCAGGAGCTCAAGACCAGCCTGACCAACATGGCGAAACCCCGTCTCTACTAAAAATACAAAAATTAGCTGGGCATGGTGGTGCACGCCTGTAATCCCAGCCACTTGGGAGGCTGAGGCAGAGAATCGCTTGAAGGCAGAGGCTGCAGTAAGCAAAGACCGTACCATTGCACTCCAGCCTGGGAGACAGAGTGAAACTCCATCTCAAAAAACAAGAACAAAAAAAGAGAGATAGGGTCTCATTATGTTGCCCAGGCTGGACTCGAACACCTGGGCTCAAGCAATCCTCCCTCCTCAGCATCCCAAGTAACTGGGAATATTGGCAGAAACCACTCCATGAGGGTATAGCAGATTTTTTTGATCACCCACTATGTGCTAGGCACTGATTATATATTTATCCTTTTACATATATTTACTGGTTTACATATAAGTAATTTCACATGTATTTGTATGTGTGTATATAGATGTATAGTTACACGTCACATTATCTCAATAATGTCAGTTTGGCTCACCTAACCAGTTGAAGGTTTTAAGACCAAAAACTGAGGTTTCCGGAACAAGGAATTCTGCTTTAAGACATCGGCATCAAGTTTTGAGACATGCTAGCCCCACCCAATCACATAGACTAATTCTTTGAAACAGATCTTTCATACATATTACATATCTCTCACTGGCTCTGTTTCTTTGGAGAACCCGGATAGACACAGGATACGATTAGATGGGCAAGACTAGGTAGGCAGGGGCAGGAAGTTAACCTAAGCTGTGGAAAGCCACTTTTGTTTGTTTTTCAAGACAAGGTATCTCTCTGTTGCCCAGGCTGGAGTACAGTGGCCTAATCAGGTCACTGCTGCCTCAAACTCTTGGGCTGAAGAAATTCTCCTGCCTCAGCCTCCCGAGTAGTTAAGACTACCATGGTGGCTGGGTGTGGTGGCTCACGCCTGTAATCCCAGCATTTTGGGAGGTTGAGGCAGGTGGATTACCTGAGGTCAGGAGTTCGAGACCAACCTAGCCAACATAGTGAAACCTCATCTCTACTAAAAATACAAAAATTAGCTGGGCGTGGTGGCACACGCCTGTAATCCCAGCTACTCGGGAGGCTGAGGCAAAAGAATTGTTTGAGCCCAGGAGAAGGAGGTTGCAGTGAGCCAAGATTAAAAAAAAAAAAAAAGACTACCACGGCTGCCTAATTTTTCTAATTTTACCCTTTGTGGACACTGGGTCTCACTATGTTGCCCAGGCTGCTCTTCAACCGCTGGCCTCAAGTGATCCTCCTGCCTTGGCCTCCCAGAGTGCTGGAATTACAAGTGTAAGTCTCTGCTCCTGGCCTTAAGGCTGATAAGCCAGCTGGGTAAAAGCAAGTGGGTAGTAGCAGACAGACAAGGCTAGGTGGATAAGACCAGGGAGATGACGCAGGGAGGGTAAAGCCATGGGGATTAAGCCAACTAGACTGAGGCTGGGGTAAGGCCATTGGGTTAAAATTAAATGGCTGAGGCCACAGGGATAAGGGTAGAAAATTAAGGCCAACTGCATAAGGCCATAAGATTATGACCAGGTGAGTAATGCCAGGAGGTTAATAAGACCAGGTGGCTTAGCCCAGGAAAGTAAGGCCAGGGGGAGGCCAGGGGTGTAGGCAAAGGGGACAAGGCCAAAGAATTACAGCCAGATTGGTAGACAAGGTGGGTAAGGCCGTGAGGTTAAGACCAGCTAAGTAACACTAGGTAATTTACATCTGGTTATTTAAGGACAAGAGGTTAGGGTCAGGTGTGCAAAGCCAGGAGGCTAAGGCAAAGGGCACAGGCCATGAGATTAATGCTGGGCGTTCAAGGCCAGGCTGTAAAGGTCTGGAGGTGGGCCAGGTAAGGTAAGGGTAAGAAGAGAAGGCAAAGGAGCTAAGGCCAAGTGGGTACGACCAAGTGGGTATGGGCAGGTGGGTAAGGCCAGTTAGTTAAGGCCAGGAAAGTAAGGCTGCTGGGTGGGTAAGGATAGGGGAATGCCAGAGGCCTACACCAAGAATGATAAGCACCATGGGTTAAGGGCTACGGGGGATGGCCAGGGCGGCAGCACATGACATTATAGCCATGTAGTTATGGGCAGGGAGATGAATCCAGGTGGGTAACACTAGAATGTTATGGCCAGGCATGAAGGCCAGCGGTTAAGGCATGACGGGTTAGACTACTTGGGAAATCTAGGAGGGTGATCCTCATTTGTACAGACATGACATCAAGGCCAGTAGCAACTGGTCAAGTAGATAAGGCTGGTGGGGTTAGGGAAGGCCAGGGGCATAAAGTAAGTTGGGTAATGCAAGATGGGTAAGGCCAAGATGGGTAAGATGGGTAAGGTCACAGAGTACGAACATGAGATTAAAGCAAGGTGAGTATGGGCTCACAGATAAGGCCTGGCTGGTAACACCAGGTGGTCAAGCCACATACGTAAGGCCATGTGGGTAAGCCAGGTGAGTAAAACCAGAATTTAAATCCAGGAGCATAAAAGTAAGAAATTAAACACCAGCTGGCTAAGGCCAGCAGGATAAGGCCAGAAAATTAAGACCAGGTGGGTAAGTCAACTGACAACAGCCAATAGGCTAACACCAGGTGGGTCAGACAGTTAAGGTAAGGAGGTTAAAACGTCAAGCTAAGTCCAGTAGCCCACGTCCAGATAATAATGTCCAAGGGATAACCCTAGGGGCTAATGCTACAGGGTCAGGACAGGACCACAAGGCTAGGAGATTGAGCCCAAGTGGATAAGCCAAGAGGGCAGGCCAGAGGTATAAGCAATGTGTGGAAGGCCAGTAGATTAAAAATAGGTCAGTATGGCCAGGAGGTTAATAAGGTGAGGTGTGTAAGTTCAGTTAAGTAAGGCATGGGGTAGGTACAGGGAGAAATGCCGTCAGGGTGAGGCCATGAGTGTAAGGCCAGGAAGCCATGGCCAGGAGTTCAGGCCATGAGGTTACTGCCACATGGGAAGGCCAGGGACATAAGGACAGGTGGGTAGTGACAGGAAATTAAGCCTAGGTGGGTAAGGCCAGGTGTGTTAGCTAGGTATGTAAGCAAAGTGGGTTGAGGCCAGAAGACTAATAAGACCAGTTGGGTAGGTCAGGGGGTAAGACCTGTGGGTTAAGGCTAGAAGTGTAAGGCCAGTGACAAAATACTAGGTATGTATGTCAAGAAGATTACGCCCAGGTGGATAAGGCCAGGTAGATAAGGCCAGGTGGGTAAGATTGGGTGGTTAAGGCCAATAGATTAAGGTTAGGTGAATAAAAAATAGTGACTAACTCAGGTGGATATGTCAGGTGGGGAGGGCCTTTAGGTTAAGACCGGGTAAAATGAGGGAGCTCGTAAGTCCAGGCATAGAGAACCGAGTGGGTAAAGCCAGAAGCTTAAGGCCAGGTGGGTACGGGCTAGGGGTAAAGAGTAGAAAGGTCGGCCGGGCGCGGTGGCTCACGCCTGTAATCCTAGCACTTTGGCAGGCCGAGGCAGGCAGATCACCTGAGATCGGGAGTTGGGGACCAGCCTGACCAACATGGAGAAACTCCGTCTCTACTAAAAATACAAAATTAGCTGGGTGTGGTGGCGCATGCCTGTAATCCCAGCTACTCGGGAGGCTGAGGCAGGAGAATCGCTTGAAACTGGGGGTGGAGGTTGTGGTGAGCTGAGATCGTGCCATTGCACTCCAGCGTGGGCGACAAGAGTGAAACTCCATCTCACACACACACACACACACACACACACACACACAAAGAGAGTAGGAAAGTAAGGCAGAAGGTGGTGGTGGGGGATTCAGAGATGTAGTCAAGGGCAGGGGCATAAGGCCTGATACGTGAGATCAAGAGGTTATGGGCAGATGGCTAAGCCCATTTACTTCAGGCCAGGAAGTTGAGACCAAGGTGGATAAGGCCATAATATTAATAACGGCAAGTTGGCTAACTCAGAAGGTAAAGTCCAGGCGGTAAGTCCAGGTTGATAAGTCCAGGTTGGTAAATCCAGGTGGACATATCCATGTAGGTAAGACAAAAAAGGTAAAGCCATGAAGCTGAGGCCCTGGGGTTTAGCGCAGTATAAAGTCACAGGGGTAGACCATTACATTAAGGACAGATGGATAAAACCAGGTTAGGCCAGGACATTAGTAATATGTGAGGCCACGAGGTTGATGAAGCCAATAATTGAAAGCCAGGTGGTAAAAAACAAGATGATAGTATCTGATGAGTAAGGCCTGGAGATTGACAAGGCAGAAACATAAAGACCCAGTGCTAAAGCCAGAGTTCAATGCAAGGATATTAACATCAAAAGGTTAATGCAGGAAGCAAGCCCGGGTCCCTAATGATAGCTGTGTGAAGCTAGGTAGCTAGCACTAGGTGTGTACGTCTTCATGGTGAAGGCTAGGAGGTCACATCCAGGACATTAACGGAAAGATGGAAAGGCCAGTTTTGTAAATCCAGGTAAGTAGGGACAGGTGCATAAAGACAGGAATATAAAAATAGATGGGTAAGGCCAAGGAAGTAAGGCCAGGGGGCTAAGGACTAGTAGCTAAGGCCATGTAGATAAGGCCATGTGGTAAGAACAATAGGTAAAAGCCAGTAAACTAAGGCCAGCGGTAAGTCCAGAGGATAATGATACCAGCTTGAGGCCAGTAGCACTAGAACAGAAAAGACCAGAGAGTGAGATGAATTATGAATGGCAACTGGAAGGTTTTGAAGGTAAGATCAGTTGGGTACTACTGGTTGGTTAAGACACGATCTTAACACCAGTGGGGTATGGACAGGTGGGTAAGGCAGGTGCATAAGGCCAGGGAATTCATACTGAATGCAAAAGGCCAGGAGGTTTATAAGGCAGGTGGTTAAATATAAGTTGGCAAAACCATAAGGTTAAGACTGGGTCAGGAAGCCAAGTGATTGAAAAGCCTGGGTGGGTAATGCCAGTAAGTTAAGGCCTCCCTAAATATGGGTAGGTAGATAGCTCCACCTGGGTAATAGTAAGAGGTTAAAGCTAGGCAGGTTAGTTCAGGAGGTTAAAGCCATGTGAGTTAGAACAAAAGGTTAAGGCCAGGTGGGAATGCCAGGTTAGTAAGCTATATCGGTCATCTAGGTGGGTAAGGCCATAAAGTTAAGGCCAGGTGGGTAAGTCCAGGTGGCTAATGGGGGGTGTCTAAGTCTGGGGGATGGGGTGAGGGAGCAGTGGTAAATCTGGGGAATAAGGGCAAGGGGGGATAAGTCCAGGGAAGTAAACCTAGGGAGGTAAATCCAGTGGTTTAAGTCCTGGTAGATAAAACCAGAAGGCTAAGGACAGTTGTGTAAACCAAGTGTGAAGGCCATGTGGGTCATGTATGGTTGTTGAGACTAGATGGGAAAGCTGGGTGGCTAATCCAGGTTGTTAGGGCCATGAGGTTAAGGCCCATAGGTTTAGGCCAGGTGAGAAAGGCTAATGGAGCATGGCCAGGGCTGTAAAACAAGGTGGGCAAGGACAGGGAGTAACGGCAGTGGAGTAAGGCCTCATGGGCAAGATCACGTGGGTCTTGACCAGAGATCAAGGCCAGCAAATTGAAGCTAGATGGGTAAGAACAGGTGGATAATGGCGAGCGGGAAGTTCTGGCCAGGTGTGTAGGGGCAGAACTTTTAGGCCATGAAATTAAGACTCGGTGAGTATGGCCAGGAGGTTAATAAAGCCAGATAGATAATGCCAGGTTTGTAATAGCATGAGGATAAGATGAGTGATGAAGCCAAAGAGCTTAATAAGTTCTGCTGAGTGCAGTCAGGTTGTTAAAACCAGGTGTTTAAGCCAGGCGTGGTGGCTCACACCTATAATCGCAGCACTTCGGGAGGCCGAGGCAGGTGGATCACCTGAGGTCGGGAGTTTGAGACCAGCCTGACCAACATGAAGAAACCCCATCTCTACTAAAGATACAAAATTAGCCAGGCATGATGGCACATGCGTAAATCCCAGCTACTTGGGAGGCTGATGCAGGAGAATCGTTTGAACCCGGGAGGCGGAGGTTGTGGGGAGGCAGAGGTTGTGGTGAGCCGAGATTGCCCCATTGCACTCCAGCCTGGGCAACAAGAGCGAAACTCCATCTCAAAACAAAAAACAACAAAAAACAAAAAAACACAAGTGTTTAAATCCCGCTGAATAAAAGACCCACGCTCGGAAATCAACGGAAGAAACACCCTGTAGGATTAAGGGCAAGTCGCCAAATCAGACAAATGATGACCCAAGGCTAATGCTAGGTAGGTAAGACAGTGTGGGGAAAGTGAGGAGGTGAAGACCAGCTGAATAAAACCAGTTGGTCAATACTAGAAGGGTATAAGGCCAGCAGATTAACCCATGCTGGCTGAGGCCAAGCAGGTGAAGAGGGCAGATGAGTATGGCCCTAAGCTTAATAAGGTCAGGTGGGGAAGGCCTAGTGGGTAAGGCCAGGTAAATAAGGCCATGTGGGAATGCCACCAGGTGAAGGCCAGGAAAGGAAAGCCAAGGTTTGGGACAGAGGATATGACACCAGGTTAAGACCAGTAGGGCTGGGGCAATTGAGGAAGGAAGAATCGAACATTGAGACTAATTGTTAAGGCAAATTAATGGGTAAGGTAAGGCTTAGGTAAGTGGGTAAGGCTGAGGAGGTAAGATCAGTTGGGTGATTCAGATTGGTAAGGACAGGACATTAATGCCAGTAGGGTAAGGTCAGGTGAGTATGCTAGGTACATAAGGCCAGGAGATTCATACTGGATGAGTAAGGCCAGGAGGTTCATAAGGGAGGTGGGTAAATCTCAGTTAGCAAAACCATGAGGTTAAGATGGTTAGGAAGCTAAACAATTGAAAAGGCTGGGTGGCTAAAGCCAGTAAGTTAAGGCCTCCCTGAATAGAGCTAGGTGGCTAACTCCACCTGGATAATGCTAAGAGGTTAAAGCTAGGCAGATTAGGCCAGGAGGTTAAGGCCATGAGAGTAAAAACAAAAGCTTAAAACAAGGCAGGAAGGCCAGGTTGGTAAGCTATGTTGGTCATCCAGGTTGGTAAGGCCATGAAATTAAGGCCAGGTGGGTAATGCAAGGTGTCAAAATGTGGGGATGAGGTCATGCAGTTGGGGGTAAATCTAGGGAGTAAAAGCAGGGGGATAAGACCAGGAAAGTAAACCTAGGGAGGTAAATCCAGGGGGTTAAGTCCTGGTAGGTAAAACCAGAAGGCTAAGGACAGTTGTGTTAACCAAGTGTGGAGCCCATGTGGGTCATGTATGGTTGGTAAGACGAGGTGGGAAAACTACGTGGCTAATCCAAGTTTTTAGGGCCATGAGGTTAAGGCCCATAGGGTTAGGCCAGGTGGGGAAGGCTAATGGGATCTGACCAGGGATGTAAAATGTGGTGGATAAAGCCAGGGAGTAAGTTAGGCAGCTGAGTATGGCCTCATGGGCAAGATCAGGCGGGATGGGTCTTGACCAGAGATTGAGGCCAGGAAATTAAATCCAGGTGGGTAAGAACAGGTGAATAATGGTGAGCGGGAAGTTATGGCCAAGCGGGTAAGGGAAGGACTTTTTGGCCAGGAAATTAAGACTTGGTGAGTATGGCCAGGAGGTTAATAAAGACAGATAATGCCAGGTTTGTAATACCACGAGGATAAGATAAAATGATGAAGCCAAGGAGCTTAATAAGTTCTGCCGAGTGCAGTCAGGTTGTTAAAACCAGGTGTTTAAAACCAGCCAAATAAAAAGACTTTTCTCAGGCCGGGAAATCGATGGGGGAAACACCCAGTAGGATTAAGGGCAATTCTCCTAGCCAGACAAACGATGACCCAAGGCTAATGCTAGTTGTGTAAGACAGTGTGGGAAGGCGAGGAGGTGAAGGCCAACTGAATAAAACCAGGTAGTCAACACCAGAAGGGTATGAGGCCAACAGATTAAGTCATGATGGCTGAGGCCAAGTGGGTGAAGAGAGCAGGTGAGTATGGCCCTAAAGTTAATAAGGTCAGGTGGGGAAGGCCTAGTGGGTAAGGCCAGATAAATAAGGCCACATGGGAAGGTCAATAGGTGAGGTCCGGGAAAGTAAGGTCATGGGTCAGGACTAGGCATAATGCCACCAGGTTAAGGCCAGTAGGGCTGTGAGATGTGAGCAAGACCAGAAGTTGGGACTAATTGTGAAGGCCAAATGGGTAAGGCTGGGTAGATAAAATCAGTTGGGTGATTCGGGTTGGTAAGGACATGAAGTTAAGGCCAGTAGGGTAAGGCCAGGTGGGTAAACCAGGTGCATAAGGCCAGCAGATTAATGCTGAATGAGTAAGGTCAGGAGGTTAATAATGCAGGTGGGTAAATTTATTTTGGCAAAACCATGATGTTAACACTGGGTCAGGAAGCCAAGCGATTGAAAAAGCCAGATGGGTAAAGCCAGTAAAATTAAGGCCATCAAGTACAGCTAGGTGGATAACTCCAACTGGGTAAGGCTGAGAAGTTAATGCTAGGCAGATTAGGCTAGGAGGTTGAGGCCATGTGACTAAGAATGAAAGGCTAAGACCAGGTGAGAAGGCCAGGTTGGTAAGCTATTGAGGCCATGAGGTTAAGGCCAGATGGGGAAGTCCAAGTGGGAAATGTAAGGTGTGTTAAGTCCAGGTGGGGGGGGAAATCTTGGTAATAAGGGCAGGGAAATAAGTCCAGGGGAGGAAACCTAGGGAGGTAAATTAGAAAAATAAGACTGGGGACTAAGCCCTGGTAAATAAAACTAGAAGGTTAAGGACAGCTGTGTAAACTAAGCATGAAACCCATGATGAGTAAGACTAGGTAGGAAAACTAGGTAGGTAATCCAGGTTGCTGAGACTATAAGGTTAAGGCCCATAGGTTTAGGCCAGGTGTGGAAAGCTAATGGGTTCTGGCAAGGGTGAGAAAATGAAGTAGGTAAGGCCAGGGAGTAAAGAAAGGGTAGTAAGGTGCCATGGGCAAGACCAGGTAGGTCTTGACAGCAGACTGAGGCCAGCGAATTAAAGCCAGGTGGGTAAGAACAGGTGGATAATGGCGAGAAGTTATGGCCAGGTAGATAAGGTCAAGACCATTAGTCAGGCCAGGAAATTAAGCCTGGGTCAGTAAGGCCAGGAGTTTCATAGGGCCACATGGATGAAGGTTGTTTAATAATGCCATGAGGGTAAGGTAATTAAGGCAACGAGGTTAATACAGTCTGGTGAGTAAGGCCAGATCATTAAAACCAGGCACTTAAATTTAGCCAAAGAAAAGACTATTTGGGTAACCCCAGGCTGGTAAATCAAAGGATAAATTCCCAGTAGGATTAATGCCAAGTTGCCAAGCCAGCTAAATAATGACAGGAAACTAATACTAGGTGGGCAAGACAGTGCAGGGAAGGCAAGGAGGTGAAGGCCAGCTGAATAAAACCATGTAGTCAACACCAGATGGGTATGAGGCCAGCAGATTAAGTCATATTATGCTGGCTTAGGCCAGGCAGGTGAATATGGCAGGTGAGTCTGGCTGTCAGGTTGATCATGTCAGTTGTAGAAGGCCTACTGGGTGAGGCCAGTAGTTGAACAAGGCCAAGTGGGTAAGGCCAAGAAAATACAGCCAATAGGTGAAGGCCAGGAAAGTAAAGTCAGGGGCTGGGACAGCAGACAATGACACTAGATTAAGACCAGTAGGGCTGAGACAGCTAAGTAGGACCAGAAGGTTGAGACTAATTGTGAAGGCCAATTGGTTAAGGCCGAGTAGGTAAGATCAGTTGGATAACTCTGGTTGGTAAGGACATGATGTTAAAGCCAGTAGGGTAAGGCCAGGTGGGTAAGCCAGGTGCATAAGGCCAGGGGATTAATACTGAATGAGTGAGGCCAGGAGGTTCATAAGGCAGGTGGGTAAATCTAAGTTGGCAAAACCATGAGGCTTAGGCCGGGTCAGGAAGCCAAGCTATTTAAAAGGCCAGATGGGTAAGGCCAGTAAGTTAAGGCCTCCCTGAATACAACTAGGTGGCTGAGTTTAAGTGGGTAAAGCTAAGAGTTTAAAGCTAGGCACCTTACGCCAGAAGGTTAAGGCCATGTGAGTGAGAATGGAACATTAAGGCCAGGGAGGAAGGCCAGGGAGGTAAGCTAAGTCGGTAATCTTGGATGGTAAGGCCATGAGGTTAAGACCAGTCTAATCCAGATGGGTAATGCAAAGTGTCTACATCCAGGGGGGCAGATATCTGAGGAGTAAGTAAAGGGGCCTAAGTCTAGGGGAGTGAACCTAGGGAGGTAAATCCAGGGGGTTAAGTCCCGGTAGATATAACTAGAAGGTTAAGAACAGTTGTGTAAACCAAGTATGAAGGCCACGTGGGTCATGTATGCTCAGTAAGACCAGGTGGGAAAACTAGTTGCTTACTCCAGGTTGTTAAGTACACAAGGATAAGGCCAATAGGGTTAGCCCAGGAGGCTAAGAATACTGGGGTCTGGCCATTCCAGTAAAATGAGGTGGGTGAGGCCAGGGAGTATCAGCAGGGGAGTAAGGCCTCATCAGTAAGATCAGGTGGGTACTGACGGGCATTGAGGACAGCCAGGTAGTTAAGAATAGGTGGAAAATGGTGGGAAGTTATGGCCAGGTGGATAAGGATAGGTCTCTTAGGCCAGGACATTAAGACTGGGTGAGCATGTCCATGAGTATTTAGTAAGGCCAGATGGGTAAAGCCAGATTCATAATACCATGAGGATAAGATAAGGCAATGAGATTAATAAAGTCTGGTGAGTACAACCAGGTTATTAAAACCAGGTGTTAAAATCCAGCTGAATAAGAAACCATTTGGTTAACACCAGGCCAGTAAATCAACAGGGAAACACCCAGGCCTTAGGATGAAGCCCAAGTTGGTAAGCCAGGTAAATAATGACACTGGGTGGAGAAGACACTGAGGGGAAGGGAAGAAGTGATGGCCAGCTTAATACAGCTATCTGGTTAACACCTTATGGATATAAGGCCAGCAGATTAAGTCATGCTTGGTGAGGCCAGGCAGGTGACTAAGGCAGGTGAGCATGGCTATAAGTTTAATTAGCCTAGGTGGTGGTTATGGCCTAGTGAATAAAGCCAGGAGGTTAATAAGGCCAAGTGGTTAAGGCCATGTGGTAAGGCCAATAGGTGAAGGCTAGGAAAGTATAGCCGGGGTAGCCAGAGGATAATGACACGATGTTAAAGCACGTAGGGCTAGGACAGGTGAGTAAGATCAGAAGGTTGAGACTAATTATGAAGACCAGCTGGGTCAGTCTGGGTTGGTAAGACCAATTGGCTAATTCTGGTAGGTAAAGCCATGACATTAACACCAGTAGGGTAAGGCCAGGTGGGTAAGCCAAGTGTGTAAGACCTGGGGATTAACACTGAGTAAGTAAGGCCGGGAGGTTAACAAGGCAGGTGGGTAAATCTAGGTTAAGACCAAGTCCGGAAGCCAAGTAATTTAAAAGGCCAGGTGGATTAGGCCAGCAGTTTAAGGCCTACTGGATAAAGCTAGGTGGTAACTCCAATTATGTAATGCTAAGAAGTTAAAGCTAGGTAGTTCAGGCAAGGGGATGAAGGCCATGTGACTAAGAATGGAAGTTTAACACTAGGTGGCAAGTCCAGGTAGAAAATCTAAGTTGGTTATCCAGGTTGGTAAGGCCGTGAGGTTAGGACCAGTTGGGTAAGTCCAAATGGGTAATGCAAGGTGTCTCAGTCACAGGAGGACACGAGGGGAAATCTAGGGAATAAGGGTAGGGCTCAGTTTAGGGGAATACACCTAGAAAGGTAAATCCAGGGGCCTTATGCCAAGGGGGTAAGACCAGGTATATAAAACCAGAAAGTTAAGGACCACCGTGTAAACCAATTGTGAAGGCCATGTGGGTTATATATGGTCAGTAAGACCAGATGGCAACACTCGGTGGCTACTCCAGGTTTTAAGACCATGCGGTTAATGCAAATAGGGTTAGGCCAGGTGGGGAAGGCTAACAGGTTCTGGCCAGGGTGGTAAAATGAGGTGGGTAAGGCCAGGTATGTCAGTCCAGAAAATTAAGATTGAGTGAGTAAGGCTAGGCGATTATTTAAGTCCAAATGGATTAAGCCAGATTGGTAATACCATGAGGATAAGGTGATTAAGACAGTAAGGTTAATATGGTCTGGTGAGGAAGGGCAGGTTTTTGAAACCACGTTGTTTAAATCCAGATGAATTAAAAAAACTATTTAGTTAACACCAGGCTGGTAAATCAATAAGGAAACCCCCAGGAGGATTAAGGCCAAGTCTGCAAGCTACCTCAATTATGACAGGAGGCTAATACCACATGGGTAAGACACTGAGGGTAAGGTGAGGAGCTGAAAGCCAGCTGGATAAAGCTAGCTAGTTAACACAAGATGAGTATAACACCAGCAAATTAAGTCATGCTTGGTGACGCCAGGCAGATGAATATGGGTATAAGTCTAGTAAGGCCAGGTGGCTAACACCTAGCAGGTAAATCCAGGAGGCTTAAATGGTCAAGTGCATAAAGTCAGCTGGATAAGGCCATGTGGTCAGGCCAAAAGGTGAAGGCTAGGAAAGTATGGCCTGGGGCAAGGACAGAGGATAATGCCACTAGATTAAGGCCGGTAGAGCCAGGACAGGTGACTCAGACCAGAAGGTTGAGACAAATTCTGAAGGCCAGCAGAGTAAGGTTGAGTAGGCAAAATCAGCTCAGTAATTCTGGTTGGTAAAACCATGAGGTTAATACCAATAGGGTCAGTTGTATAAGTCAGGTGCATAACGTCACAGGAGTAATACTGGATGAGTAAGGCCAGGAGGTTAACGAGGCAGGTGGGTAGATCTAGGTTAAGACCAAGGTGATGTAAGACCAAGTCAGGATGCCAAGGAATTTAAAAGTCCAGGTGATTAGCACTATCCGATTGGAGTTGTCAACCCACCTTTAATCAGTAGGCCTCAACCCAGTGGCCTACTGATTAAAGGTGGATTGATAACTCCAATTGGGTAGTGCTAAGAGGTTAAAGCTAGGCAGTTTAGGCCAGGAAGATGTCCATGTGACTAAGAATGGAAGGATAAGGCCAGGCGGGAAGGGCAGGTTGGTAAGCTCAGTTGGTGATCCAGGTTGGTAAAGCCATGAGTTTAAGGCCAGTTGGTTAACTCCAGATGGGTTAAGAAAGGTGTCTAAGACTGGGCAGGGGAAATCTAGAGAATAATGGAAGGGGGATAAGTCCAGAGGAATCAACCTAGAGAGATAAATCCAGTGGGGTAAGGCCTAGGGGCTAAGGCCTGTAGGTAAAACCAGAAGGTTAAGGACATTTGGGTCAATTAAGTATAAAGGCCATGTGGGTCATGTATGGTCAGTAAGACTAAGTGGGGAAACTAGGTGGCTAATCCAGGTTGTTAGGGCCATGAGGTTAAGGCCCATAGGGGAAGGCCAGGTGAGGAAGGCTAGTGGGGTCTGCCCCGTGCAGTAAAATGAGGCGGGTAAGGCCAGGGTGTAAGGCCTCATGGGTAAGATCAGTTGGATACTGACCAGAGAATGAGGCCAGCAAATTAAATAACTGGTTATAAACAGGTGGTTAAAGGCAGGAGGTTATGGCCAGGTTGGTAAGCCCGGTTCTTTTAGGCCAGAAAATTAAGACTGGGTAAGGCCAGGAGTTTCATAAGGCCAGGTGGATAAAGCCAGATTAGTAATACTATGAGGACAAGATAAGGTGATTAAGGCCATCAAGTTAAGTAACATCTGGTGAGTAAGTCCAGGTTGTTAAAATTGGTGTTTAAATCCAGCTGAATAAAAAACTATTTGGTTAACACATCAGGCTGGTAAATCAATGGGGAAACTTCTGGGAGGATCAAGGCCAAGTCTGTAAGCCAGCTAAATGACAAGAGGCTAATTATACATGAGTGGGACAGAGAGGGTGCTGTTTGGAGGTGAAGCCCCGCTGAGTAAAGGTACATGGTTAACACCAGATGGGTATAAGTCCTGAAGATTAAGTCATGCTAGGTGAGGCCAGGTGGGTGAGTATGGTCATATGTTTAATAAGGCCACGTGAGTAAGGCCTAGTGTGTTGGGCCGGAAGGTGAATAATGCCAAGTGGTTAAGGCCAGGTAGATAAGGCCAGGAAGTGAAGGCCAGCTCTATAAAGTTACGTGGTGAACATCAGGTGTGTAAGTTGAAGAGGTTAAGGTAGGTGGGTAACATTCCATTTGTAAGGACAGGGGATTAAGGCCAAAAGATTAAGGCCACATGGGTAAGGCCAGAGGTTAAGGCCAGGAATCTATAGCCGCCTACGTAAGACTAGAATGTGAAAGGACAGCTGTGAAGGCTCTGTGTATAAGGCTGGGAGGGTCAAACCAGATGGTTAAAATCAGGTGAATAGTATCAGCTGTTTGAGGCCGAGTAGGGATGTCTGAGAAGTTAAGGCCAGGTGGGCAATGCCAGGAAGTTAATGTCAGTGGGCATGTCCCCGAAGTTGAGTTTTGGGCCAGGTCTGAGCCATACCTGGGTTCCACGTTCAATAACTGTAGTATCCCTCGCTTATCTGCAGTTTTGCTTTTCATGGTTTCAGTCTCACATGCCTGAGTGTCTCCAAAAATATTCAATGGAAAATTCCAGAAGTAAACAATTCATAACTTTGAAATTGCAGGCAATTCTGAGTAGCATAATGAAATCTTACACCATTCCTAGCTCTCCTGCTCTGTGCTGCCAGGGACATCAGTTATCCATTTGTCCAGCATTACTGGACAAAGATTGATGTGTTTGAGTAACCTTTATTTAGTTTAATAATGGCCCCGGGCCAGGGACGATGGCGCTAGCCTGTATTCCCAGCATTTTAGGGGGCGAAAATGAGCCTAGGATCACTTGGAACATAGGAGTTTGAGACCATCCTGAGCAACATAATGTGAGCCCATCTCTACAAAAAATTGTTTTTAAAAATTAGCCAGGCCAGGTGCGGTAGCTCACACCTACAATCCCAGCACTATGGGAGGCTGAGGCGGGTGGATCACAAGGTCAGAAGTTCAAGACTAGCCTGGCCAATATGGTGAAACCCCGTCTCTACTAAAAAATACAAAAATTAGCCAGGCGTGGTGGTACGCACCTGTAGTCGCAGCTACTCAGGAGGCTGAGGCAGGAGAATTGCTTGAAGCCGGGAGGCAGAGGTTGCGGTGAGCCGAGATCGCACCACTGCACTCCAACCTGGGCAACAGAGTGAAGCTCTGTCTCAAAAAAAATAATTAGCCAGGCATGGTGGAGCATGCCTCTGGCCCCAGCTACCTTGAGGCTCAGGTGGGAATATTGCTTGAGCCTGGGAGATCAAGGCTGCAGTGGGCCATGATTATGCCACTGCATTCCGGCCTGAGAGACAGAATGAGATCCTGCCTCATAAATAAATAAATAAATAATGCCCCAAAGCAAATGAGTAGTGACCCTGGCGTATTGTCCTAATTGTTCTACATTACTCTTGTTGATCTGTCACTGTACTTAATTTTGTAATTAACCTTGAACATAGGTACGTATGTATAGAAAAAAAGCAGTATATATAGGTCAGTATTAGCTGTGGGTTCAGGCATCATCCGGGGTCTTGGAACACATCTCGGGCAATGAGAGGGGACTACGGTACAGTGTGAGGGGATCAGCTCCTCATCTTCAGCTTCCTCTACTTCTCATGGGGATGCTCCCTGTCTCTGAACATTGGTCTGGGTGAGTATCTGTGAAGCTCTTAGTGCAGCACATGTAAGGCCACTATTTCTTTTTGTTTTTTTAGACAGCCTTTGGGAGGCCAAGGTGGGTACATCACCTGAGGTCAGGAGATTGAGACCAGCCTGGCCAACATGGCAAAACCCCGTCTCTACTAAAAGTACAAAGAATTAGCTGGGCGTGGTGGTGGGTACCTGTAATCCCAGCTTCTTGGGAGGCTGAGGCAGGAAAATTGCTTGAACTCGGGAGGTGGAAGTTGCAATGAGCTGAGATCTCGCCATTGCACTCCAGCCTGGGTGACAGAGCAAGACTCTATCTCAAAAAAAAAAAAAAAAAAAAAAGTTCTCTTTGAAAGATACAAACTAGAATATTTAATGACTATTTAGTGAAATGATTACCCTGGCCATGCGCTGACAGTTATCTAAGACAGTGACAGGGATGAAGGGCATCAGCACAATCTCTCTTCTTTTGTGTTCCTCTGAACTGTTGCACAAAAGCTTCTCCACGCCACCCCCCCGGCGCCACCACCCAGACAGAGTCTCACTCTGTTGCCAGGCTGGAGCACAATGGCGCATCTCAGCTCACTGGAACCTCTGCCTCCTGGGTTCAAGCGATTCTCCTGCCTCAGCCTCCTGAGTAGCTGGGACTACAGGCACACGGCACCACACCCGGCTAATTTTTGTATTTTTAGTAGAGACGGGGTTTTACCATGTTGGCCAGGCTGGTCTTGATCTCTTGACCTCGTGATCCGTGTAAAGCCACTATTTCGAGTTAGCACCCCTCTTGCATTATCACCGTCATGGTCTACTGGAGTCACTGGGACTAACTTACCTGCATGCTGGACAAACAGTAGCTGTTAAAGGACAGCTGGCTGCCTTCTCACTTGCTTAGTGTCAAGGTCCCCAGGTCCCCTGCAGATCACTGTTCCCCATGACAACCCCATTTCATAATTCCATAAGAGGGTCATTTTGCTACTGACTTCTTTCTTCACCATGACAACTAACGAATGAAGAGACACTGTGTAAACTGCATAGGGTCGGGGACTGCAGGTGGGAGGTGGTGGTGTTCCCTGCCTTCAGTAGGAAATTGGCTTTACACATTGGTGGAGACAGGTGGAGCCAAGGTTGCTCCTCATCCCTGAGGCAGCAGAACATGTAGAAGACACCTCAGAAACAGGATCTGTTCACTGCCTAGTGCTGAGTCCTGCCTCAGTGGAACTCCGGCAAACTGGGCCCCATCACAGAGGGACAATACCCGAGGATGCAGTGCCTCCTCACAGCCCAGTGCAGGGACTACACAGCAGTCACGCACAGCCCAGTGCAGGGACTACAGTGATGCCTGCTGTTGTACTCAGGTTGATAAGTCTCATTATGTTGTTGCTCACAGAAATCAGTTTCTATTGGTCTTCTGCATCCTGGGATTCAAACAACCTTGTTTGGATCAAATATATTTGGAAAAATAAACACAATAAAAATAACAAAACAAAATACAAGCAAAAAACTAGAATACCTATTTACACAGCATTTACATTGTTTCAGGTATAGATGATTTCAAGTATGTGGGAAGATGTGCTTGGGTTCTATGCAAATAAAATTTGTTTTAAATAAGGTATTTGAACATCTGCAGATTGGGAGTCTTGGAAGGATCTCCCAAGGATACTGAGGGACAACTGTATACACTGTTACAGGCACTGCAAGAAGAATGCAAATCACCTCCTGCTAGGTGGGAACCTCTGGCAGCAGCAGTGCAGGGGCTGCAGCCTTTCCTCACTCCCAGGTCCTTCCACCTGCACTGCCCAGCTCATCCCCAGTGCCCACTCCTACACTGTCCAGCCGTGTCTTCATCCACAGTACCCACGCTTGCAATGTCCACATCCGCCCTACCCAGCGGTAGCCTTTCCTCATCCCCAGAGTCCTGCACGGTCCAGCTGCCAGGCCAGCTTCAAGATTGCCTCAGATGTTTCTCAGCTCTACTCCTATGTCTCAGCCTCCACTGTGACATAAACACAGCCATCACACTGTAATCCAATTCTAGGAACCCCAAAGTCCTGGTGATTACTCCCCAGTCAAGAGACATAACATCAACTCAGGGGCCTGATTCAGAAAGTGTCCTCTTAGAACATAGAACACTCCACCTTGGCCCCTGGCACAACCCCTCTTTCAGGAAAGGGCTTCTTCTTCCTCATTTCAGCCACATAATTCTGGCAGCAGCTGCCCAGAGAGTTACCTAGCCAGACGTGGACAGACATGGTACTTCCTGGAAGCTGGAGGCAGCATGAAGGGGTCAATCTTTCTCTGCAACCCTCGATTTTGTGACATGAAGCTCATGAGCAACTGGAAGGCGCAGGGACCACAAGAAATAAAGACCCCTAGTTGGTAACGAGAGAAGAGAATGATGCAAACCCATAGACAGATGCCAAACTGTGGAAAGAAGTTTTAACATCTCTGGCTGCAGCTGTATCTCCAAACAAATATCATTTTGTTCCAGGAAAATGCTTTAAATAAATTCCTCTTAATGATGCTTGTTTCTTACATTCCAAAAATTAAAGCTGGATGGCATTTTTAAACCTGCAGCCTTAGTCAGGTAATTCCATGGTCCACATGTCCAGGAGTCTGGCTGAATGCCTGGGCTCTCATCCTTCCTTCAGCTTTCTCAGTGGCAGGGGAGAAGGTAAAATTGACCCCAGGAGCAGCAGTACTAGTGACATTTGGGACTAGATGACTCTTCATTGGGGGGCTGACCTTTGTTTCAGGGTGCTCCACAGCATCCTTGGTCTCAGTCCAGGAGGTGCCAGCAGCACTCCCCAGTTGTGACAATCAAAATTCTCTCCAGACATTGCAAAATTGCCCTTATTTGACAACCACTGACTTCAAGGTAGAGTTTCTGAGGCTCAGATGCCTTGAAAACAGATCTTCTTCTCTCCAGAATTGAGGGATAAATAAATATACACCTACCTATATTCTCAACCCTTAATTTCAACGAGAAACATGAAACCTAGAAGACAGGAAATCGGACCTAAAAGGAAACCAAGCAGTGGGTGTCCACGGGTCCTTATAAAAGCCCATTCCCGTAGGACTACCTTACCCACAGCTTACAAGCATGAAGAAGGACTCTGTTTCATCACACAGTGTGTGTCAAAATCACAAAAGAAATGCAAACTCTTCATAAATGAGATTTAGAAAACCAAACAACCACCTAGAATTCTTTCATTCATAGTTATCTGAAGAACACTAATAAGAAACTTTCTACAAGCCACAACCGGTGACCTTCTTATTGAGACACAACTTTGAAAGGCAGCCTTCTGTTATCCCTGAGCTGACACACCCTAGACTGCTGAAGATGCAGTTGAGGCAGCAGCCTCCAGGAGGCTTTAGCGGCAGTTTTGATGAAGTTGAGGCAGCAGCCTCCAGGAGGCCTTTGCTATGGTCTGAATGTTGCTGTCCCTGTGGAAATTCCTATGTTGAAATCCTAAGCTCCAAAGTGATGGTATTAGAATATATATGGCCCGGGCATGGTGGCTCACACCTGTAATCCCAGCACTTTGGGAGGCCAAGGCGGGCAGATCACAAGGTCAGGAGATTGAGACCATCCTGGCTAACACGGTGAAACCCTGTCTCTACTAAAAATATAAAAAATTAGCCGGGCGTGGTGGCGGGCGCCTGCAGTCCCAGCTACTGGGGAGGCTGAGGCTGGAGAATCGCTTGACCCCACAGTTAGGGCCCATGTTCCTAACTGTGAGGTCATAAATGTTGCTTCAAGTCATTAGTTGGGTAGAGAGATGCTGAGTGTCTGTGCCTGTCCCCAGCCTTTCTCATCTACAAAGGCCAACACAGTCCCCACTTCAGGGAAGAGTTCATGGTGCTCTTACAAAGCAATAGCATAGGGCTAAATTATGTAAGAAAGAACGTCCTGTCTGGAGACAATGTGAGCGTTGAGGTTAGGTTCATCACATAAATATATTCCAAGTGGGTAAAAGAGTGAAGTGGAAAAAATACAGCAGGCAATGCCCATCTTGCAATAGTTGAATAGGAAGCTTCAGATCAAGCCTGCTGCTGAAGACTATTACAAAATAAAATTTAAAATAAATTACATCTGTGTAAAGAGATAAGATTACTTCTTTTTTGTTTTTTTGTTTTTGACGGACTCTCACTCCCTCACCAGGCTGGAGTGCAGTGGCACGATCTCGGCTCACTGCAACCTCCACCTCCTGGATTCAAGCGGTTCTCCCACCTCAGCCTCCTGAGTAGCTGGGACTACAGGCATGTGCCACCACGCCCATCTAATTTTTTTTGTATTTTTAGTAGAGATGGGTTTTCACCATGTTGGCCAGGATGGTCTTAATCTCTTGACCTCGTGATCCACCCACCTCAGCCTCTCAAAGTGCTGGGATTACAGGCGTGAGCCACCATGCCCAGCCTAGGAAATAAGATTACTTCTAAGGCAGAAAGTAAAGGGTGAGATCCACATCCTTGGCCAAGGTGAGAGGTGACAGCGTGCTGGCAGTCCTCACAGCCCTCACTCGCTCTCGGCACCTCCTCTGCCTGGGTTCCCACTTTGGCGGCACTTGAGGAGCCCTTCAGCCCACCGCTGCACTGTGGGAGCCCCTTTCTGGGCTGGCCAAGGCTGGAGCCGGCTCCCTCAGCTTGCAGGGAGGTGTGGACGGAGAGGCGCGAGTGGTAACTGGGGCTGCACCCGGCGCTTGCGGGCCAGCTGGAGTTCTGGGTGGGCGTGGGCTTGGGGGGCTCCACACTCGGAGCAGCCGGCCGGCCCTGCCAGCCCCGGGCAATGAGGGACTTAGCACCTGGGCCAGCGGCTGCGGAGGGTGTACTGGGTCCCCCAGCAGTGCCAGCCCACCGGCACTGTGCTCGATTTCTCACCGGGCCTTAGCTGCCTTCCCGCGGGGCAGGGCTCGGCACCTGCAGCCCGCCATGCCTGAGCCTCGCACCACCTCCATGGGCTCCTGTGCTGCCCGAGCCTCCCCAACGAGCGCCACCCTCTGCTCCATGGTGCCCAGTCCCATCGACCACCCAAGGGCCAAGGAGTGCGGGTGCACAGCATCCCTGTGCGGGATCCACTGGGTGAAGCCAGCTGGGCTCCTGAGTCTGGTGGGGATGTGGAGAACCTTTATGTCTAGCTCAGGGATTGTAAATACACCAATCGGCACTCTGTATCTAGCTCAAGGTTTGTAAACACACCAATCAGCACCCTGTGTCTAGCTCAGGGTTTGTGAGTGCACCAATGGACACTCTGTATCCAGCTACTCTGGTGGGGCCTTGGAGAACCTTTGTGTGGATACTCTGTATCTAACTAATCTGGTGGGGACGTGGAGAACCTTTGTGTCTAGCTCAGGGATTGTAAACACACCAATCAGCGCCCTGTCAAAACAGACCACTCCGCTCTCTGTAAAATGGACCAATCAGCAGGATGTGGGTAGGGCCAGATAAGAGAATAAAAGCAGGCAGCCCAAGCCAGCAGTGGCAACCGAAGTGGGTCCCCTTCCACACTGTGGAAGCTTTGTTCTTTCGCTCTTTGCAATAAATCTTGCTGCTGCTCACTCTTTGGGTCCACACTGCCTTTATGAGCTGTAACATTGAGAGCAAGGGTCTGCAGCTTCACTCCTGAAGCCAGCAAGACCACAAACCCACCCTGAGAAACAAACAACTCCAGACGTGCCGCGTTAAGAGCTGTGACACTCGTGGCGAAGGTCTGCAGCTTCACTCCTGCACCAGCGAGACCACGAACCCACCAGAAGGAAGAAACTCCGAACACATCCGAACATCAGAAGGAAAAAACTCTGGACACGCCACCTTTAAGAACTGTAACACTCACCGCGAGGGTCCACGGCTTCATTCTTGAAGTCAGTGAGACCAAGAGCCCACCAATTCCGGACACATCTAGACTTCAGGGCTCTAATTGTTTAATTCTTCCATCACTGCAAGGAAAATAGCATGCAGTTCAGCTCACTGAGCTTACTTGTTCTCAACCTCTTCAATTCATTTTACCATCAGTTGGTTACAGTGGGGACCTTTCCAAACAGGATGCTGACCGTCTACTTTAGAAGTGTTAATGTAAACCAAGGAGATTTTTATTGGTCAGTGGAGAGGTGTTCATGAGGCATCACCAGACACATGTCTATAGGATCTGGCAGCGCCTCATATGGTTCCAAAGTTGGTCCTAGAGGTAATGAGCCTACCTGCTTGTGAATATGATGCAAACCTCTTTGCATTCCTCCAGTATCATGTTCCTGTATAAATTATTTCCATTTTATTACAAAGTCAGCTCTTCTGGGCAGTAGCTTCCTCATTAGTATTTCTCTGACATCACCCAAGACATCATGGGTATGTCAGATCTTCAGAATATTTAATATCTTTCAGTCCTACGAGCACTTTCAATTAATGCCCCCAAAATAGCGACCCAATAATTGTCTCCGAAATGACACATACCATACCGTCCCATCTGGAAATTTTCTGGGCCAAAATTCAAGTGCTCACCATTAGGCAGCACTTGTGGTTTTTTACCATAGACTCTAGTCTGTGGAAATGCAATTTCAGATACAGGTGTCCCTGGGTATCTGTGGGGAATTAGTTCTAGGACCCCTCCCTAAGGGGATACTAAAATCTCAAGGGGCTGAAGTATCTTTTTTAAAATGACATAGTATTTGCATATAACCCATGCACATCCTTCCCTATATTTTAAATCATCACTAGATTACTTACAATAACTAACACAGAGCAAACGCTATGGAAATAGTTGTTCTATTATTATTATTATTTTTGGAGACGGAGTCTTGCTATGTCGCTGCAACTTCCATCTCCTGCGTTCAAGAGATTCTCTCCTGCTTCAGTCTCCCAAGTAGCTGGGACTACAGGAGCCCACCATCACGCCCAGCTAAATTTTTGTATTTTAGTAGAGATGGGGTTTCACTGTGTTGCCCAGGCTGGTCTTGAACTCCTGAGCTCAGGTAATCTGCCCGCATTGGCCTCCCACAGTGCTAGGATTACAGGCATGAGCAACTGCGCTCAGCCTGTTCTATTATTTTTTAAATTTGTATTATTTTTATTGTTGTTTTTAAAACCTTTTCCAATCCTGGCTTGTTTTTCAGTTTCTGATGTGATTGTGGCATTAGCAATGTAGCGTATTGACACAGTAGTAAAGTGGTGAATTCAAATAACCATGTGGCAATACAATGTAGTAAGCTGGGATCCTTCCCACATAAAGGCAAACTGTGTTTGATTCTTTTCTAAGATTGTGATAAAGAAAAAAACATCTTCCAGACATCGTATTTTTTTGCACTATTGAAACCATATCAGGAACTGCTGGTGCTGTAGGCAGGACTACTTTATTTTTATTTATTTATTTATTTATTTATTTTTTATTTTTTTGAGATGGAGTTTCAATCTGTCGCCCAGGTGCAGTGGCGCGATCTCAGCTCACTGCAACATTCGCCTCACGGGTTCAAGTGATTCTCCTGCCTCAGCCTCCCGAGTAGCTGGAACTACAGGTGCATGCCACCACACCCAGGTAATTTTGTATTTTTAATAGCAGTGAGGTTTCACCATGATGGCCAGGCTGGTCTGGATCTCCTGACCTCAGGTGATTGCCCGCCTCAGCCTCCCAAAATGCTGGGATTACAGGCGTGCGCCGCCGCACCTGGCCAATACTACTTTATTCAAGCCTGGAAAATCTACTGCAATCTTGATGAGCCACTTCCCTTTTTCATGGGCCACACATGGGACATTTGTACAGAACATTTGTTAGTACCAGCACTCCAACTTCTAACATGTCAGCAGTTAAAGTGGTAATCTCTTTTTGTCTACCAGGATTCATCTGACACTGTGTCAAATTAACAAGCTATGCGGGCTCAGGCAATTCTATAGGTTCCCATTTAATATGCCCAATTAATGATTGCAGAAGGGCAAACTTACATACCTTTGATTTTATAATACTAGGAATGGGAAGTGCTCCCAGTCAGACATGATTCCATCTAATAATACACTTAGGTAGAGGATACACAAGCACTTCACAGGAAGTCCGTTCTAATGTTCCAATTTTCATGCAAACTTTCACCTTCATCTCATCAATCTCTATATCCCCAGATGCTCCCTAGCAAACTGTCACCCAATTAGGACTTCACCAACAGGTTTTGATAACATAATGCACTGGGATCCTGTGGAAAGGACTCTCAGAAGTTTTTCTCCACCCTATTTCCATTATCCTCACATATATGCACAAGCCCCAGATCTCTGTTGAGGATCAGGCCAAGGGACCCTGATCCCTGCACCAGTCTTTGTCCTGATTCATGTGCCTGATCACTAGCCCCAGTGATTCGAGGTCAGATTTCTCATTTTTATCTTTGCCTTCAGTCTTTCAAATTCTTGCAAACTCTGGTAAATAGGGTGGATCTGTTTAGGGGCTTCAAAGTTGGGAGACTAGCAGGGGCACTTGTGAGTCCACTGAGCCTCCCATCGTGCTGCGATAAGATCTTTCTTTTGATTCGTCAATATTCAGCTTTTCCATCCCACTTCTTTTTTTTTTGTTTTTTTTTTTTTTGTTTTTGAGATGGAGTCTCGCTCTGTCACCCAGGCTGGAGTGCAGTGGTGCGATCTCGGCTCACTGCAACCTCCACCTCCCGGGTTCAAGCGATTCTCTTGCTTCAGCCTCCTGAGTAGCTGGGACTACAGGCATGCGCCACCACGCCTGGCTAATTTTTGTATTTTTAGTAGAGATGGGGCTTCACCGTGTTGGTCAGGCTGGTCTTGAACTCCTGACCTCAAGTGATCTGCCCGCCTCGGCCTTCCAAAGTGCTGGGATTACAGGCGTGAGCCACCGTGCCCGGTCCATCCCAGTTTTTTTTTTTTTTTTTCTGTGTGTGTCTTGCTCTGTCACCCAGGCTGGAGTGCAATGATGTGATCTTGGCTCACTGCAACCTCCACCTCCCAGGTTTAAGCCATTCTCTCACCTCAGCCTCCTGAGTAGCTGGGATTACAGGTGCCTGCCACCACACCCGACTAATTTTTGTATTTTTCGTAGAGACAGGGTTTCACCATGTTAGCCAGGCTGGTCACGAACTCCTGACCTCGGGTGATCCACCCGCCTCGGCCTCCCAAAGTGTGCTTTGGCCCCCAAAGGTGATCCACCACACCCAGCCCCCAGTTCTTAATATTTGAAAATTTCCACCCTGCAGGGACAAGTCCCTTGACTATTTCCTTTGACTTTGGCCATTCTTTTGTAAATGGGCATCATTTTCTTGACATCTGTAAGACCCATGAGGGGAAGCTGAGATAACAAAGCTGATATGATTTCTTGAACTGTGCTTGATTTTGCAGCAGTAAGTTTCCATGGGATTCCTGTGCAAAAGTTGCTCACGTAATCACACTGAGGCAGGAGATCAGCAGGACTTGTTTTCTGAGCACTGGTCACAACCCAGCTGATTGAAGCAGGATCTAGTCAAAAAGGATGCAGTAAAGAAACTGGCCGGCTGGGCGCGGTGGCTCACACCTGTAATCCCAGCACTTTGGGAGGCCAAGGCGGGCGGATCACGAGGTAAGGAGATAGAGACCATCCTGGCTAACACAGTGAAACCCCGTCTCCACCAAAAATACAAAAAATTAGCCGGGCGTGGTGGCAGGCGCCTGTAGTCCTAGCTACTCGGGAGGCTGAGGCAGGAGAATGGTGTGAACCTGGGAGGTGGAGCTTGCTGTGAGCCGAGATCGCGCCACTGCACTCCAGCCTGGACGACAGAGCGAGAAAAAAAAAAAAAGAAACTGGCCAAAACCATCTAAAACCAAGATAGCAACAAAAGCAACCTCTAGTTGCCCTCACTGCTCATTGTATGCTAATTGAATGTATTTGCATGCGAAAAGGCACTCCCACCAGCAAATGTTTACATTAGTTTACAAATGTCCCAGCCACCATGCCCTGGGAAGTTACTTTATATGATTTAAAAGGGGAGGAGCTCTCAGTCCCAGGAACTCCCAACCTCTTTTGTAGAAAATTCATGAATAACCTGCCCCTTATTTAGCTTATAAATAAGGAGTAGCTATGAACACAGCTAGCCAGCAATACCTGAGTGCTGCTCTGCCAAGCTGAGATCGTGCCATTGCACTCCAGCCTGGGTGATGAGAGTGAAACTCCGTCTCAAAAAAAAAAAAAAAGAAACTGATAAATCATTTTACCTATGAGAGTTCCCCATGGATATCAAAAGTTGAACAAGGCCCTGCACCATGGCTCATGCCTGTAATCCCAGCACTTTGGGAAGCCTAGGCGGGCAGATTGCTTAAGCCTATAAGTCCAAGACCAGCCTGAGCAACATGGCAAAATCTTGTCTGTACAAAAAAATACAAAACATTAGCTGGGCGTGGTGGCGCACTCCTGTAGTACCCGCTGCTTGGGAGGATGAGGTGGGAGGATCACCTGAGCCTGGGGAGGTCGAGGCTGCAGTGAGCTGTGATTGTGCCACTGCACTCCAGCTTGGGTGACAGAGTGAGACCCTATATCAAAAAATAAATAAATAAATAAATAAATAAATAAATAAATAAATGAGAAAGCTGAACAAATTGCTTTGTCTCTGCTGTCAAATTGAAGCAGTCAGAAAACTCATTTCCATTTAACACAGCAGAATTAGGATTGCACGTTCTAAGAAAAGTTTAATTTTACGCATTAGCTATTTGTTTCCTTTTTGTTCTCAGGATTTAAATGGCCCAGTTTCCAAATAAAGCATAGGTTTCAAGTCTTAAGAATCTACATGGAAACAGCAAAGGATTTACTGGATCCCAAATCCATTTGCTTTCCCCTGAGATAATTATATTCTTTCCTCCAAGCTTCCTGCTGTTTCATGGTCAATAGCTTCTAATAGGTTTCTCCCATTTCCCAACTCCCAGGAGCTGTTCTCTATCTGGTTTTGTTCCAGACAATGCAAAAGGTGCTAGTTCAAACTTCCTAAAACTCCCATGCAAGCGAGGTGTGGTCTCAAGGGTATAACTCTTTGTAGATCTGGCCAGGTGTGGTGGCTCATGCCTGTAACCCCAGCACTTTGGGAGGCCAAGGTGGGCAGATCAGGTCAGGAGTTCGAGACCAGCCTGGCCAACGTGGTGAAACCTTATCTCTACAAAAAACAAACAAACAACAACAAAACACCAGCCAGGCATAGTGGCACACATCTGTGGTCCCAGCTACTTGGGAGGGTGAGGTGGGAGAATTGCTTGAACCTGGGAGGTGGAGGTTGCAGTGAACTGAGATCACGCACTGCACTCCAGCCTGAGCAATGGAGTAGGACTCTGTCTGGAAAAAATAAATAAATAAAAATTAAAATTAAAAAATTTAAAAAAAGGCTCTTTGTAGATCAGTATAAACAGGCACTCAGGGGCCCTAGTGGCCTTCCAGCTGGTCCCAACAATTCTGGTGCAGTCTGCCATGTTACATGCAGATGAAAATTTTTCCCAAGAGGGCAAACTGATTTTTCAGAAGACTACCTACTAAAAAAATCACAATGAAAGTAAAAAAAAGAAAAAAAAATTAGAAGGGCCATTTTTTGACAAAGAGGTACTACATGTGCTTTATTATTTTATTTTATTTTTTTAAAGACAAGGTCTTGCTCTGTTGCCTAGGTTGGAGTGCAGAGGTGTGATCATAGCTCACTGCAGCCTCCAGCTCCTAGGCCTGAGTGATCCTTCTGCCTTTAGCCTCCAGTGTAGCTAGGACTAACAGGCATGAACCACAATGCCTACTTAATTTTTATTTTTGTGGAGACAGGGTCTTGCTATAGTTGCCTAGGCTGGTCTTGAACTCATGTCCTCAAGCAGTCCTCCCACCTTGGCCTTCCAAAGCACTGAGATTACAGGCGTGAGCCACTGCATCTAGTCTGTATGCTTTAAATTGATGAACATCTTTTTCTAAAAGCAGGCAATCGAGAGAAATTTGGCTAAAACACTGCAACTTGATACTTATAAACTGAAAGCCATTAGAAGAGTGTTACCTGACTAGATAGATCAGAACCTTAACCTGTAGGATGTGAAGCCAAACAATTTGTGCCATAGAACCAAGGAAGACTGAGGGAATTAGATGTACTAGGAAGGCAAAAGTGTGGGGAGGAAGACTGCTTGCAAGTCTATGTAAGAGCAGTCAGCAGTCAGCCTTGTGAAGAACCTGCCCAGCTCACCCCACCAGGCAGCTCCTCCTCCACGTCCAGAAGACTTGACGCTTACCCTTCCGACCCTATGCTTGTATTCACTAAGCACAGCTAGGCACGGGGGAGTGCTGACAGTCACTATTTATTTCAGGCAGAAGGATGGAAGATTCCTTTCTGGAAAAACTGACTGGCCAAACAGAAAAAGACCAAAATGTAGTGAAGTTTGGGATCTCCTAAGAAAACCGCCAAGTCCCTGTCCTAGTACTCTACCTGTGCAGCCCATTATGCGGGAAGCCTACAACTCAATAGCCTGCTTTGGGTGTCTCCCTCCTAAGTGTGAATGGACAGGAGAGATCATAGATAACTTGGGCGGCAAAGTCAAACATGAAAAACAAAAACTTGAAAATGGAATTGCAAGAGATAAACCATAATCAAACCTCCATCAAGAGATGGAGACCATCCTGGCTAACACGGTGAAACCCCGTCTCCACTAGAAATACAAAAAATTAGCCGGGCGTGGTGGCGGGCACCTGTAGTCCCAGCTACTCGGGAGGCTGAGGCAGGAGAATGGCGTGAACCCAGGAGGCGGAGCTTGCAGTGAGCCGAGATCGTGCCACTGCACTCTAGCCTGGGTGACAGAGCGAGACTACATCTCAAAAAAAAAAAAAAATCTATTTTCTACCTCACGCTGAATAATTCCATTTTATTGATGGGAGGAAGGGAGGAGGGAAGAGTTGTGATTTCTGCCATGGCACAGCTGAACTTGAAAGGTGGCAGATATCTGTGAGTGGGGTGCTGCAGCAATGCGCCACAATATAATGTCGAGCAGCTGGCCGAGGCCGTTTGTGAGTGAAGGATGCAAATGCCTATGGCTGTACCAACCACCCTGAAGGCATCCGATCTCATTTTCTCTCAGAAGCCAAGCAGGGTTTGTCCCAGTTAGTAGGGGTAGTAATGACAGATTACGCTTATTGCCGAAGAACTGTTTCAAACATTTTACTTAGAGCTATGATCTGAATGCCCCCAAAAGTCATGTGCTGAAACTTAGTCCCCATTGTGGTGGTATAAGGGAGGCCTTTAGGAGATGATTAGGCCATGAGGGGTCTGCCCTTATCAATGGCATTAGTGCCTTGTAGAAGGGCTCGGGGGACCCAGCTCAGGCCCTTTCTTCCACTTCCCGCCCTTCTGCTGTGTGAGGACAGAGTGTTCATTCCCTCTGGGGGATGCAGCAGCAAGGTGCCACTTTAGAAGCAAAGACCAGGCTCTCACCAGACACCAACCCTGCCGGTGCCTTGAGCTTGGACTCTCCAGCTTCCAGAGCTGTGAGAAATAAATTTCTATTATTTATAAATTACCCAATCTCAGGCATTTTGGTATAGTAGAACAAATGGATTAAGGTATCTACACTTGTATTTAATCTTCCCAACAACTACAAGAGGTGGGTAGGTATTAGTATCATCTCCATTTTATGAAAAGGAAAGCTGAAGCTTTGAGACTTTGTGCAAGTGAGTTACACAAGACCACACAAGGCTAGTATATGGTAGAGCTGGGTTTCAAACCCAGTCAGTCTCCAGATACTGCTTTCTTGGCTACTACATTATACTGTGTTTGATGGGGAGATGGTCTTGAAAAACCAGATGCTGCAAGCTTTTTTTTTTTTTTTTTTTTTTTGAGACGGAGTCTCACTCTGTCACCCAGGCTGGAGGGCAGTGGTGCGATCTCGGCTCACTGCAACCTTCACCTCCTGGGTTCAAGCGATTCTCCTGCCTCAGCCATCTGAGTAGTTGGGATTATAGGCGCCCACCACCACGCCAGGCTAATTTTTTGTATTTTATCTTGACTCATTGCAACCTCCACCTCCTGGGTTCAAGCAATTCTTCTGCCTCAGCCTTCTGAGTAGCTGGGATTACAAGCACCTACCACTATGCCAGGCTAATTTTTTCTATTTTTAGTAGAGACAGGGTTTCCCCACGTTGGCCAGGCTGGTCTCGAACTCCTGACATCAAGTGATCTGCCTGTCTCAGCCTCCCAAAGTGCTGGGATTACAGGCATGAGCCACCATAACCGGCCTGCAGGCTTTCTTTCTACTTACTTCAAAGCAGTGGCAGCTCCAGAATTTATAGGCAGTAGGTAGTGAAGGGGCATAAGCCATGTTTTTTTTTTTTCAGACAGGGTCTCACTCATCATCCAAGCTGGAGTACAGTGGTGCAGTTACAGCTCACTGCAGCCTTGACTTCTCAGGCTCAAGTGATCCTCTCATTTCAGCCTCCTGAGTAGCTGGGACTACAGGTGTGTCCCACTACATCCAGCTAATTTTTGTATTTTTTGTAGAGATGGGGTCCACTATGTTGCCCAGGCTGGTCTTGAACTCCTGGGCTCAAGTGGTCCTCTCGCCTTGGCCTCCCAAAGTGCTGGGATTACAGGCCCGAGCCTCTGCATCCAGCTAGCAATGTGGTTGAAAGGTATGGGTGTGTGTAGCAGCAGGTCTGGGGTTGGGGACAGAGTACATACTTTGAAGGTTGGTAGCACAGTAAGCATGTTATTCTTTCACAATAATTTTAGGTTTATTTAAAGTGTCGAGAGAGGGTGGTTAATGACGAAATTGAGAAGTGATAAGCTCTGCTCCCATGCCTGGAGCTTCTTTTTTTTTCTTTTTTTTTTTTTTAGACGGAGTCTCGCTCTGTCACCAGGCAGTGGCGCTATCTTGGCTCACTGTAACCTCTGTCTCCCGGGTTCAAGTAATTGTCCTGCCTCAGCCTCACAAGTAGCTGGGACTACAGGCGCGTGTCACCACGCCCAGCTAATCTTTTGTATTTTTAGTAGAGATGGGGTTTCACCATGTTGGCCAGGCTGGTCTTGATATCTTGACCTCATGATCCGCTGGCCTCAGCCTCCCAAAGTGCTGGGATCACAGGTGTGAGCCACCATGCCCAGCCACCTAGAGCTGCTTCTGCTGCAGAGCCTCATTTGGTTTTCACTGCACCCCATTTTCCTTTCACCTCCACATTGTCTGCTTGCTTGACTAATGACAGAGCTGGCCAGGAGACAAGTCTAGCCACTTGCACCCAAAACTCCAAAGTCTTTGTCTAAACTTGGCATGTGTTACAAACAGACCTACAAGGAAATAAAGGTCATCTGACTCATTCTTCAACATGTACATGCACAGCATGAGTGTCAGGGTAAAGAAAAACAAGTAACGAATTGGGTGTATGGGGATTCTTTCTAAGGCATGTCTACATTGCAAGAATTGGCCAGGGTCCTGTTCTCCCAATTGCCCTGGACTCACAGCTTTTCTCTCCCTGGAGAACAGCAGCTCAGGTCCCCTATTCAACAGGCATACAGGAGAGTCCTCAGCCAGGAACACTGTTCAACTGACTCTTCAACTCGCTCTTGGTCAATCTCAACAGACTCCTCCCTGGCTTCCCAAAGAAATCGAGAACCAGCCCCAAGCAGAGCCACAGAGAGGGCCTCCTGGTCACCAATGCATGGAGAAGATGGCTCTCCGATCTCAATGTGCAGCAGAAACAGCCTGGTCCTGGGGAACACACACACACATTGCAGGACCCCTGAATGCAGGTAATCCCAGAATCCCGCCTTAAGAGACTTTTGAGGCCGGGCGCAGTGGCTTATGCCTGTAATCCCAACATGAATCAAATTCATATGTTGAAACCTTTAACCCAATGTGCCTATATTTGGAGAGGAGTCTTTGAGGTGATTAATGTTAGATGAAGTCACGACGGGGGCCTCATGATGGGATCAGTGTCCTTAAAAGAAGAGGCATCAGAGAACTTGCTTCTTCTCCGAGTACACCCAGAGGTCATTCTGAGCACACGGTAAGATGGCAGCCACCTACAAGCCCAGAAAGGGGCCTCAAAATGAACCTACTATGCAAGTACCTTGATCTGGGACTTTCAGTCTCCACAAATGTGAGAAAATAGGTCTGTGTTTAAGCTGCCTAAGCTGTGTTTAAGCTGTTGTGTTATGGCACCCTGAAACTGACTAATGCGCCTGCCTCTGTCTTCAATTTCACTATCTGTGACTCTTGTTCCAGCCATGTTGATCTTTTGGGAGCTCTGGAACCTGCCCCAGGACGTCCTGATCACTATTTTCTCCTGGCACACTGCACTCCACTGTCCCTTCCTCCGTCACTCCAACCCTGCCACTCTAGGGGCTGGCTCCTGCTCAATCCAGTTCTCAGCTTACATGTCACTTCCAGAGGTGGCTACTTGCCAAGGTTTCTGGTGTTACCTACTTACTCTAAATTTCTCTTCTCTTGAATTCTTACACATATTTATGGTGCATCACACAGCATCTTTTTGTTGCACATACTTGACTAATTCATTTTTGTTAATTAAGGCCCTAGGGTGGCCAACATTTAAAGTAAGCTAGCTAATTTATTAAATATCTCTTTCAAATTTGTACTTGTTTGAGGCAACTTTAATTAAAGCAAGCTACAAGTAACGTAGATATGCCCTTTTCATTTTCTTTTAATATCCAGAGCTTTCAGTGTTGTCATACTTTAATTCAAAAGTCAACATAAAAGTTTAATACATATAGTAAGCTGAAAAGTGTTAGTGAAATGAGCTGAGCTTTGCTTTTCCAAACATGTTTCCAAAAGTTTATTTTAAAACACACACATAGTGTCAGATACAAACGCCTTTTAACCACTGTGGTGGGGAAGAGTAAACTGATTGCTTCCAATGATCATCTCTTCCCTCTGCGTCCACTGTTCTCAGAGTCTCAGGGAGTATGAGAGGATGTGTCTCTTCCTTTACTTCCCTGTTTGTTGTAATGAGTCCTTCGATGAGAGTAATTACGTGACCGAATTTTCCATAACTATTTGTTGATTATTAAAGTTTTGCAGTGGCTGGTTTTCCTATTGGTGTCTTACAACCTAAGATGAAAAAAGAGAAGCAGCTCATGAAATGATGCTGATTTTGCCCTTCCTCATACAGCTGTTCCTTGGGCGACTGTCCAGGGGAGAAGCTGGAGACTTGTGCAGAGCTTCACAGGCTGGCCAGTACCCATGGGGACGCCAGCCCCCTCCACAAGGGAAGCGGTAGATGCTCCAAGAGGTGACAGCATGGCCAGAGCCACAGGGCCAGGGCCAGGAGTTGAACCCCGTCATGTTTTCTGAACTCCAGTCCAGTATGTTCACGCTCACATCACATCTGCTTTCCGTGATTAAGTAATTGATTCCGTCACCCTCACAGGGCGAGGTGTTTGTGGTTGTTTTAGGTATATGCACCTCTTCAGACACGATATAAATAGAAGACTGGGATTTCGACCTACATATTTTTTTCTACAAGGTCTAGTACTTCCGCCTTCCCGATATGCAACAACTACCCCACTGCCCTTCTACCCTTTTCTTCATCCATTCTCCTTTTCCGTATGCCCCATTCTGGTCTTCCGCAAATCCCAACAGACATTTATCTAAAGCTCTTCCATGCAGGTTTGACGAGGTACTGAATTAAGATTAGGTACAAAAACAGTACTTGGAAGACGATCCACTCAAGGACATCACGCCATTCAATATAATCAGCAGATTATTTTTTCCAAATGTTAACACCCTCCTTTCTAAAATGGCCGCATCATTGCTAGGAAAAGTGTTCTTGACCCCCTCTGATTGTACCTCTGTTTATGTCAACACTCAAGGACTCTTATGTCAAGGAAGACAACACTCAAGGACTCTTTTTGGACTAGACTATTTCTTCATAGCTGATAGGCTCTAGAGAAGAGTAAGGGTTGGATTATTCTCCCAAGGATGTGCTATCAGCCCTAATTCTGAGTTCAGAAAGTCTACATGATAGAGACACTGACACTAATCTCTCACTTGGGAAAGAAGCAATGCAAGACAGACAGTGAGAGCATCAAACAAAGAGTGGAGATGAGGTACTCTCTCTGAGGCAAGGATGTGAAGGGTCTGGGCCTCTGGCTGAGACCAGTCATGTTAGGGACTGACTCTTTCTACTGTGTAAGACTGCTTCTTTTATGCCTGCTGTGTTTTGTTAATTTTCTTTGTGCTTTCTCGTTAGCTTCCTTGAGAAAATTCCAGACTGCATAAGTAATTCCCTTTTATGTTAGAACTCTACTACTTACTGATCATTTTGATAAAGTATTTGGTGCCACAGTATACTTTCTTATTTTAATTCATCAACAAAATGTGAAAACTTGTATTTTATTAAACTGCACTTACCAAGCATTTCTTCTAATTTGGTTGTGGCAGGTTCATTCACATTAAATATACAGTTATTATTTCTAGGAGAAAATAATAAGCTTTATTATTACATAAACTCTGGGGAAAAGACAACTTTTATATTTTGTTCCTGACGTAGCTATTGTAAGACTACTTTTCAATTGCCTTCCTCAAGGCTGGGCCTAAGTAGTCGAAAGGCCTCAGGCTCCTGTCCCACCTCCTGGCTTCTTGCTTCATTCTTCTGACCACATAAGAGACATGACTGCCAGAGTTTACTATTAAGCTTTATCACTGTTAAATTCAACCACTTAGAAGAACATACATCTATATGTTTATATATACATATACAGGTATGTATCTATATATGTATTATGTGTGTATTTATGTGTGTCTACACTCATATGCCCACTACACTCCCGAAAATCTTTCTTGTAATTATAAATTTCAACATTAAGTCAAAGCAAAAATATTGGCCTAAAGTTATTTCTTCCTTTCTTTGCTTCAGTTGCATTTCTATTCATAACCACATACAATTTTCAGGATAACTCACACTGACTTAACTAATTAGAGGATGGATAAGGAAAGTAGAATATAGCATTTCCTAGATCATCCATTTCTATGTCTCTCTGGATTTTGAGCTCAAATGTCATTCATTTCCTTGTTCCTTGAGCACTCATGGGATCTTGTACAGTACTTACATCTTCTTCTTCTCCACTACTCCGAGCCTCACACAGGCTGCTAAGGCGTTTTTCTGCACATCAGAAGATAATACATCATAACATTGAGAGGTACCTAAAATTGGGGGTGAGGAAGAGTTAGTTGACCAGTTTCTATTCTCAACTAAAAGAAATCAGCACCCACAGAGCAGTGACTGACCTTGATCGAGAAGCTGACTTGTGAATTTTCTGACTGCAGCCAAGTACTGTTCCTCACTGAAGTGGTCCTCTTCTTCACTCAAAAGGTACTTGCAAATTATCTGATTTTAAGAGGAAGGATGAGGGGAACAGAAAGAGAAAAAGGATAGCCAAGTTCAACAGAATAGTAAATAACTTTACATTGCCCCTCTTAAGAGAAGGATATATCACAAGAGAGCAGCATAAAGACCCTCCAAGGAATGAGCCCAGAAAAACCAAAGAATTTTTAGGGCATCTCCTTTGAGTTTACATTTTACAATTAGAAAAAGATTTAAAATAATAATGACATTTATTAAAGTATAATTTCTCACTTCAAGGGGTACAAGTTAATTACCATCAGCTTCGTATCTCTTATGCTACTTGGGAAGAGAGGGGTCAGATTTTAATAACTTTGCTTTTTTTCTCTAAATACACCTAAGAAAGTACCATGCCCTAAAATACTTGATGATTTCTACTGTAGAACAGTGATTAAGGGTAGAACTAGCATTTATCAAATGCTCAGTAAGTGCTAGACTTTGTGCAAGGAGGCTGAATGAGTTATTTCACGGACCACAAGCACCAGGAAGTGGGTCCAGGTGCCCAGAGCCAGTGCATGTATTATATGAACAGAGCCGAGTCACAGCATCCTCTTCTCTCAAGCATGTGGAAGTCCTTCCTACAGTTTATGTTTCAGACTCTTTCTCTCCCGTTGAGTCCTGCCACAATTCCTGCTGGGCAACATACCATCCCATCTCTCTAACTACTCCCAAGAGCTCTGACAAACGCTTTCAGAACTTGCACTTGAACTTTTTCTTTCCAACATAAACATCTGGTAATCTGTAACTGACTTTATGTATCACTCAAGTCTTGCCTTTACTGAGTGCCTGATATATATCAAACCTCGAGGTTACATATTGACTGACATGAAGGCCTCATTAAGACATGAGACACAGTATGACAGATGATGCGTGGGTGTAACTGTGGTCCTGTGAATACTGTGACCATGGCATCACTAAGCTGTTGTCCTCTTGGGTCTGTAATGAACCAAGCTTCCTCCTGAATGCGGGGAGCAAGGTCTCACTGGTGAGGTGAAATCACTGATCGTATTAGTCACTCTCTCTCCTTCTTCCATTTGCCTGGGGAAGATACCTGCCCTTCAGACTGGAAATAAGCACAGGGTGAGAATGTCTTATTATATTTGATATGGGGGGCATGAAGGAGAACTTGCCAAATTTACATACCTGATAGCTTTCCACAAAAGGTTTAAAGAGTCCTACTAAAAATTCTAACACAGTATTTCCTTTCTCTGTAACTAGGATGTCTTTCGTAGTCACTTGTATGGCTTCACTTTTACAAAGCAGGTAACAGCCTTCTTCAAAGTCCTAGAAGGGAAGAGGAAGCCATAATGTTCATCTAGGTTAATGGGTATAGTGCCCATCTGAATACATGTACCCCCTCATCTAGGTTAATGGATACACTGCCTATCTGAATATATGCAGCCACATGCCCTCAGACAACAGAATACCAGCTATTTCCCCAACCTCCAGAACAATTCTGGTTGTGAGATAGTAGCCAGAGAAGCATCTGCTCTACATTCAAAATGTTTTCAAACACAACATTTCTGAGCCTTACAAATCACAACCTGGGTGATGGATTTTCTTTTACTTTGCAGAACCACTCCTTAATTTAAATAGGAAATACATACAGCAAGTCCTAAAAATACTTAGAATTATGCTATGGTTAAAAAATTTCTGGCTGGGCGCGGTGGCTCACGCCTGTAATCCCAGCACTTTGAGAGGCTGAGGCGGGCGGATCATGAAGTCAGGAGATCGAGACCATCCTGGCTAACACAGTGAAACCCCGTCTCTACTAAAAATATAAAAAATTAGCCGGGCGTAGTGGTGGGCGCCTGTAGTCCCTGCTACTTGGGAGGCTGAGGCAGGAGAATGGAGTGAACCCGGGAGGCAGAGCTTGCAGTGAGCTGAGATTGCGCCACTGCACTCTAGCCTGAGCGACAGAGCCAGACTCCACCTCAAAAAAAAAAAAAAAAAAAAAGTTTCCAACACTCCTGTTCCACTCCCTACAGAATCAAACCTCTTATCCTTAAAGCACACAAACACCTAACATGCCTCTCATCTACTGTCACTTCCCACTTCAACCCAGCAGCAGTCCAGCTCTGCGAGCCTGATGACCCCTCAGCTGTCTAGACCAGGCAGGACCAGCACTCACTACTCTCAAAGTAAAAGGCACTTGCCTGGGTGACTCATTCTAACAACTTGCTAACAGGAAAATGTGTGCTGATTTTGTTGTGTTTGGTTTCTTTTTTTTTGAGATGGAGTCTTCCTCTTGTCACCAGGCTGGAGTGCAGTGGCACAATCTTGGCTCACAGCAACCTCCACCTCCCGGGTTCAAGTGATTCTCCTGCCTCAGCCTCAGCCTCCTGAGTAGCTGGGACTACAGGCATGCGCCACCACGCCCAGCTAATTTTTGTATTTTTAGTACAGACGGGGTTTCACCATGTTGGCCAGGATGGTCTCGATCTCTTGACCTCGTGATCCGCCTGCCTCGGCCTCCCAAAGTGCTGGGATTACAGGCATGAGCCACTGCGCCCGGCTGTGTGCTGATTTTTAAACGTTTACTAAAATAAAGTTAGTTTAGTTGTAATGGCCACACTGATAGTTCAAAGAATGACTCTCCTCTCACCATATAATCCCTAAGTTATTAATTAAACTTGATCAAGAATCAAACTAGAGTCTGCTGAACTGTGAGCGCCCCAGTTTCTCTTGAAGTCTGCCCCACTTTGCCTTGAAGAAAGGGATGGCACACTGCCTGAGACACATCTGTGAATTCACCCCTAACATTTCTAGAACTCACACTGCAAACATACTTGCTCTTTGTTGTAAGCACTTTACCTTTAGTGTGTTTCCTGGAAGGAAGATGAACTCATCTGCAAAAACATCACGTAGGAAGCGAAAGCAACTGTAGACATCCTCTGGAAATAAATGCATCATGTAAAATTACAACATTGCCCTTTAAACTTTAAGGGAGTACCAGGAAGTCCTTACTATCACAAAATGTATTTCAAAGGCATATTTTATTCATGTAACAGGGACAAGAATTAAGTCCCCTGAGGGAAGCTAAATTAAACCCAAATCTTACCCACAGAGCAAACTACGGTCTAGCATAGTTTGTTTTTTGTTTTTTGAGATGGAGTCTCGCTCTGTCACCCAGGCTGGAGTGCAATGGTGCAATCT
This sequence comes from Homo sapiens, assembly GCF_000001405.40. Taxonomy (NCBI): domain Eukaryota; kingdom Metazoa; phylum Chordata; class Mammalia; order Primates; family Hominidae; genus Homo; species Homo sapiens. The sequence goes on along the minus strand of NC_000001.11, from coordinate 231,272,049 downwards.
TGGCTCACTGCAACCTCCGCCTCCTGGGGTCAAGCGATTCTCCAGCCTCAGCCTCCCAAGTAGCTGGGATTACAGGCACTCGCCGCCATGCCCAGCTAATTTTTGTATTTTAATAGAGACAGGGTTTCACCATGTTGGTCAGGCTGGACTCGAACTCCTGACATCGTGATCCTCCTACCACGGCCTACCAAAGTGCTGGGATTACAGGCGTGAGCCACTGCGCCCGGCCCTAGCATAGTTTTTAAATGATTGACTCTAACCTACAACCAGGCTTCTACTCAGCGAGACATCACAGTCCTTAGAGGCCAGGACGCTTCATTTTTCCCTACCCCATGGCTCCCTAGTAGGGAAGGAAAGGTACTGATTTCTTAATTTCCCTCTATATTCATATTTCCTGGTATCTTTATTATATCTGTAGCACTTTTCCTTAGAATCACTGTGGAGCTTTGAAAAGCCAAAACCAAAACCAAAACCAAACACCAATGGCTGGCCCATACCCCAGGTCAACTGAAGAAACTTTGGGGTGGGGCTCACTCCCCTAGTAATTCTAACATAGGGCCTTGACAGAACCCCCTGGCCTTGACTACAGGCTCCTGTGAACATGACGTGTACTGTACTCATTTTTATACTCCTGATACAATTAGAACAAGACCATGCATCTCGGGAGTACTCATCGACTGCTGACTGCTCATCTGCCCACCTGCCTTTGCTGGATCAGGGAGCTGGCACAGCCAAAACAGTGCCGCAGACCAGGAAGTGGAGAACTGTACTCAAATGCCAGATCCTTCTCTCAGTAATTATGCAACTTTCTAGGCCTCATTTTCCATATTTATAGAAGGAAAGGTTTAGATTATTTCCAGGTCCTCCCAATTCCAAAATTCGAAGCAGATGAACAAGTATTTGGGGAACAAAGCTAACTTTTTCTCAGTGATAGGCCTGCTCTTCACCGGCGTGAGGCTGAACATTACAAGGCTTCAAATGTGGCTCCCTAAATGGAATGGAATGGCCAGACCTCTTCTAAAAGTCAAGATTGCATTCCTGAAAATTACCTTTCCTGAACCCTGGTGTCATCTGCAATGCTACTGCTACTAAGGATGGGCGCACAAAAATGTTGAGCAGCTGGTTCCTATAAGCTGAGCACATGAGGAGAGTGATGTGCTGGAGCATAAGCCCATCGACCACTTCCGAGTCTCCGGAGTCCACTTTCAGAATCACCTGGTCTTTGACAAGGCTGGCAATGTTGGAATGCAGAAGAATGCTGGCCGGGACAACTTCTTCAGCAGGTTTATTATCTACACACAAAGACAATTCATTCAAACAAGATGGGTCACTGCAGGGAGTCTTAGGCCTAGCGTACGTTAACGTTATTAATGGTAACGTGACAGATGCTCATTTTCAAGTGACAGGTTTTACTGTCTACCAATTACGGTAATGATACCAAATCTGAAGAAAAATTTAAAAGTACTATTTCATAAATCAATTCTTTCTCTCTCTCTAAGGACATGTAACATACTTTCTTACCCCCAAAATTTGTCAGCCATTCTGAAAGGCACATCAGTTTCTACTCTGAAAATGAACACCACTTCTGTGTACTTCAGGAACCAAGGGAATCTAAAGTTTTCTAACAGCAAGTTACATAACTGGAAAGTCACATGCACGGGAATGTAAGAATACTAAGAAAAAGGCCCATGATTAGTGTATGAATACATTAAAACATACAACACACACACACATGCACACACACCCCTTGCTTAGACCCATACTAAAATGGTAAAAATATCACTTTGCAGTTTTCCCCAAATCAAAGATAACTAAAGGGGCAGCTCCATGGCAGTTGGTAGCTTATCACCTGACATATTGGCCTGCAGACAGCTGCCAGGCAGGTAGAATTACAGAAGCATAATGAAGAGATGGTGATATTTAACAAATATTCTCAGCACGGAAAATTATTCTGCAGTTAACCTGAGCCAAAGAGCTGGCTGGCAGTGGCACACTGCTCAAGTTGGGTGGCAAGTTCTGCTACTGCTTCAAGGCAGGGACAAGTGAGAGGTATGGCTTCCTCCTGGACTTGATCACATTCATTCTTGAACAACTTGCCTTGTCTCAGCTTGCTCAATTGAATAATATTTTATGTGAAATGATCATAAAAAGCTTGAGATATGAACATGCTTAGGAATGTGGGGTAATCTGCATAAAAAAAGAAAAAAGGAACAGAACTGTAGTGACACTGAACAGATACTCTTAGTTATGGATTAGTTATGGCATTTATCCCATCCTGAAAAAGCAAAACACTTTAGAAAAACAAGTACCTATGTTTTCATATGTTCCTGGGCCAAACAATGATGGGTTTGAGCCCTTTTAGCTATTTCTCATGACATCCAACACTTGCTACTTGTATCATAATTAACACATCCTTTGCCTCCTACCAGACCCAGCCCATCACAGCACTGAGAACAGGTGTCTGATTTGTCTCTCTCTTGGTGACTGGCATTTTTGTCAGTAAATCCTCCTCATCTCTTGGCTGTGCCCTGAGTGCCTCCACTGCTGCGGCTCAGGCATCTCAGGCATCCTGCATTTCTCATTGGGACAGAGCAGCCTCCTAACTTGTTTCTATACCTCCAGTCTTCTGATGGTGGATGGTGGGGAGGAGGCGGGGAGGTCCATCTTTATTTTCCATCTACCCACCACCCCATCTGGGCCAACACTTTAATATCACTGATGAATCTCTGGGGCCCAAGCCTCCCATCTTGCATTCCTCATCCCTGCCTTGGCGAGGATCCTCTCCTGGTCTTCCTGAAGGGTTCAAAAGTCGCTTCTGTGAAGTCTTCCTGAGTATGGTCCCTTTCCTCTGCAGCACTCTCAGGAACCCTCTGCAGCATGCATGTTGCTCCTTGTCTCTGTTCACTGAACCCTCACAACTTGTTTACACATTACCCACCCACCCTGCCCTCTGCAACCCAGGGGAACGTCCAGGATGGGGATGGCATCTTGTTCATCTTCATATCCCTGGTAGTACCCAGCACAGAGGAGGTATTCAGTATTGGGTTGATCAAAGAACAGTAGGTACTTGACTTCAAATAATTATCTGGTCTTTAAAAAAAAACGCATTTCCAACTGTAGCCTGTACAATTTTTTTTTTTTTTTGAGACGGAATCTCGCTCTATCACCCAGGCTGGAGTGCAGTGGCGCAATCTTGGCTCACTGCAATCTCTGCCTCCCAGGTTCAAGCAATTTTCCTGCCTCAGCCTCCCGAGTAGCTGGGATTACAGGTGCACGCCACCATGCCCGGCTAATTTTTGTGTTTTTAGTAGAGACGGAGTTTCACCATGTTGGTCAGGCTGGTCTGGAACTGCTGACCTCGTGATCCGCCCGCCTCAGCCTCCCAAAGTGCTGGGATTACAGGTGTGAGCCACCACGCCCGGCCTTTTTTTTTTTTTTTTGGAGATGGGGTCTCACTATGTTACTGAGGCTGGTCTCGAACTCCTGGGCTCAAGTGATCCTCCCACCTCAGCCTCCCAAGTAGCTGGGATTATAGGTGTGTACCACCATGCCTGGCTAGGATTCATGACTTTATTTTCCACCGTACTAGGTGCCAAGGAAATGGTATTCTAGTCCTCAAGATATTCAGAGTCTCGTAGTGGGAAATGACATGTAAACAATTATTCTCAAATAATCAACGTGCTGTGTTCACTGTGTCCTATAGTGATAAAAACAGATTTGGTGTCCTTTCTCTTTTTCTTTCTTTTTTGAGACAGAGTCTCGCTCTGTTGCCTAGCTGGAGTGCAGTGGCACAATCTCGGCTCACTGCAAGCTCCGCCTCCTGGGTTCATGCCATTCTCCTGCCTCAGCCTCCCGAGTAGCTGGGACTACAGGCGCCTACCACCACGCCTGGTTAATTTTTTCTATTTTTTAGTAGAGACGGGGTTTCACCGCGTTAGCCAGGATGGTCTCAATCTCCTGACCTCGTGATCCACCTGCCTTGGCCTCCCAAAGTGCTGGGATTACAGGTGTGAACCACCGCGCCCGGCCTGTCCTTTCTCTTTCTGAGCAATCCTTTGCTCAAGTCCTCTATAGATTTTTCAGGTCCAGGTTTTAACTCTTCCAAATTAAGCAAGCATTCTCAACACATATGTCCTACCTACATACCAGGCCAAATGAGAAACCCTCCAAATGCCTGGGTTAAGCCTTTTAGCCATAAAGTCTTTTCCACCAGAGCATCAAAGTCCATGGATGGCCGGTTCTGAAGCAGAACAGCAACTATTAGGGTCCAGGGGCTCAAAACCATGTTTTCAATTTGCAGAAGCTCCATTTTGTAGGCAACTTCAGTGACAAAGGCATGCATGTCCTCAGACTGTTTCTGAGGAATGTATCTAAAAGGAAGAGCACAGAGCAACAAATTACAGTTCTGTTACTTAGACAAATGGGGATGGAAAAAGACTCTAGACGTTTTAGAAGGCTTCTCATACTTTGTGCCAACTGAATTCTCTCAGGTCAGGTGCAAACAGTATTCCTTTGCTTTACTATAGTGTAATCTGACCATACATTTCTGGAATATCCTCTTGAGAGATGGTAAAAATACTGAAGGGGTCCAGGGTCCTATTATTCCTGGTTCCAGGCAAAAAACTTTTGTTGCTTCCTAAATAGGATACATCGTTTCTCTGAGAATGGATGCCTGCCCCAGTAGACTAAATTACTATCTTTTCAGAATGCATAGCACGCTGAACATATCTCCATTGTAGAACACACTTAACAGATTATATAATAACTATTTTATACTGAATGGGTGCCATTCAGTTTGTCTGACTTCATGCATGGATTACCAAACTTTGAATAGTACAATAAGGCCTGCACAGAGCTGGCTGGAGCAGAGATACACACATGACCTAAAAATTGCCACACAGGTGGCTTAATGTGAAAGATGCAGCCAGTAAGGGTGCCCTGTACTAGGTAATAGCCAGCCAAACCAATTTGAGATCTAAAGAGAGAGCCTGTGTCAGGAAAAAAACTAACATAAGCGTCTGTGATGACTAATGTAGCTGCTGGGAAACTGCTAAAGCTACAGATAAGTTACAAATGATGTTGCAGCACATGAGGCCTGGAGGGGCAGATGGTTTGTCTCCCTTACTTGTCCAGGTATATTTCTCCTAATTAAGAAAACTCAAATGTGTATCTGTGTTCTTTATCCTGAAAGAACCTAATATATTTTCTTGCCTATAAAACTATAACTCTCTAGAGACTAAGGACTCACTCCCATTCATTACCATTATGCAATCCTTTCTAGGGTCAAAAATAATAGTACATACTTTGGCTAGCTTACCAATAGTGCTCAACAATTCCTGCACATATACTTGTTAATAATGGCATTATTTATTCCCACTTTAGTTCCCTTGAGAAACATGATCATTGTCTGATTTTGCATATTTGACATACATATCTCACAGCTTATCTTTTTTTGGGACAAACACATAATTCTTCTTTAATTGAAGGTTTCCACTGATGAAAACGGAATGATAACAGCATTTCTGATCATTTTCTCTGTAATCTTAAGTAAATCAAGAGAAGTGGTCAACTCCAGCATTGCAACTCACACCTTTGGATTTTAATCCTCATTTCTAAGACAGTTATTAAAACACAGGTCACACCTTGGAACCAAGTTATATGAGCTCCGACTCATCCTCCCAGCTGCCAAAGATCGAAGTGACACAGGATCTCCAAAGTACACATGGATGCTTCCAAAATTTTCAGAGAGAATCTTTCTGGCTTTCAGCAACCCCTAATAGTACCATAACAGGGGGGGAAGAAAACGAAAAGCAGTAAATTTAGAAATTAGTTGATGTGTCAGTCAGCACATTCTCTCAATTAAGCTAAAATCAAGCTCACGTACAGTTGTAGACTCTTTTGGTTTAGGAACCCCTAGAAGCTCATACACATAAAGAGTTTCTTCCAAGATCTTATCATAACTGATACTAATTGGGACAAGGTAGGTATCAAAAACTTCTCTTTTAAAAAATGGCTCCATCACAATATTCAGAAGACCTGCAAAACACAGGGAGAAATGCTTCATCAACATATTGAAGAGCAGAGCAAACATGAGCACATAAACGGAAAATACTAAAAGCATACATTATACACTAATCCCGTAAATATCAACAGTTATACATTTACACTTGAAAAGAATATCTTGTTAAATAAAGCGTCAAGTTTTATGTAGCAGCTGATGTCTTTGGGTTTGTATTTTTCCTTTTAATCTGTAGTGACCTACCAAATTTAGGAGTCAATGTCTTGGCAGAGCGGCTTCTTGTCCCTTCGAGGAAAAATTCAACAGGAGCATAACCATTCTTTAAAGAGAAAACAAACAAAACACAAAACCCATTGCCTACTCTCAAAATGATAAATGCTTCTTTTGATTCCTTTTCCCAAGCTCCCTCCCAAGCTTCCTGAACAAACACAGCTTACAGTGAAAATTAAACAAGAGAGTCACACAGATTAAACCAATTGCTGAGGTTATAAGCAGTTCTTGAGGGAAAGCAAAATAGCTAAGTGTTCTATTCAGAAGTTAAGAGTTTAAATGAGCAAACATCAGTGAAGAAAATATGGCTTAAGAGTAGTTGGGAATTATTTGCATTTACCCGTAACATAGTTTTTACATATTCAGAGAATACAGCCCAGTAGAGTTTATTGCCACCAAAGGTACGCCGCATGAAAAAGGCACCCGACATTCGTAGCAGCTCACCAACCATTTTCATTCCCAGGAAGTCTAAAAAAGAGGGGATAATATTTATTTGCAGATCTTGAAATCTTCTATAAAGATCTAAACTTAAACATGCTTATTTTTCATTTATATTTTATTATTTTATTTTATGAGACAGGGTCTCGCTATGTTGGCTAGGTTGGTCACAAACTTCCTGGCCTCAAGCAGTCCTCCTGCCTCGGCCTCCCAAAGTACTGGGATTACAGGCATAAGCCACTGTGCCTGGCCTAAACTCAAACATTATTAAGAAAGATTTCATAAATGTAAGACACCCCTATGATATTATTATACTTTGACATTAAAATACATAAGAGATACCTAATAGAATTATAGAAAAGAAGGGATTCTGTGGGCCAGGTGCTCACTGGGAGGTTACCTTGTGCTTCTCCATGCACCACTCCCTTTACAAGTAGGCCAGCTAGAGCCAGGGGCAACAGCAGAGCAACATGACAATGTCATGATGTCAATGTCTTTAGTCAGCCATGCTGCTGAGCCTGACAACAGACCAATATGTGCCCTTCATGCTCTGGACAGCCAGGCCAAACCCGCTCTCATCTTTTGCCTACCAGGAAAAAACATCAACCTACTTTTGTTGGAAGAGATTAAATAAGGCAAATCTTGTAAGAAAGGAAGATTGCTACCAGCAGTTTTAAAATAGTCTTTCTCTTCATTTCCCCTAGTTTTCAAATAACTTCCTCACAAGTTTGTTCAGATGAAAATGCTTTTAAAGTGCTTAAGTTCTTGGCAGTTTTAACCTTACCATTCACTGCATTTATTAACAAACGTGTATACTTGAATCCTGGCTTTCCTGGCTACCCTAAAAGGGAGTGGATAAACAACTTATATGCCTTAGCAATCCCACTTTTAGGAATCGATCTTACAGGAATAAAAGCACCAATATAAAAATGTATTATGACATTGTTTATAACAGCAAAACTACTAAATTATGAAATATCCACACTGCTGAATATTATATGGCTATTAAAATTAATGTTAGACATGAAGTTGGACCCTTAACTTACACCATATACAAAAATTAACTCAAAAAACCAAAGATCTTAATGTAAGACCTGAAACCATAAAACTCTTAGGATAAAACATAAGGGAAAAGCTTCATGACCTCGGATTTGGCAATGATTTCTTCGATCTGATACCAAAAGCACAGGGAACCAGGGAACCAAAGAAACAAATAGATCAATTGGACTACATCAATTAAAAACTTCCATGCATCAAATAACACAATCAACAGAGTGAAAAGGTAACCCATGAAATGGAAGATAATATTTGCAAATCATCTGTCTGATAAGGGGTGAATATCCAGGATGTAGAAACAATTCCTACAACTCAACAAAAAAAGCCCCAAACAACCTAATTAAAAAATAACGGACTTGAACAGACATTTCTCCAAAGATATACAAATGGCCAATAAGCACACAAAAAAGATGCTCAGCATCACTAATCATTAGGGAAATGCAAATCAAAACTACAAGGAGATACCACTTCACACTCATTAAAATTATTATAAAACATATCAGAAAATAACAGGTGTTGGCAAGGATGTAGAACAACTGGAACTCTTGTGCACTTTTGGTGGGAATGTAAAATGGTGCAGCTGCTAAGGAAGGCAGTATGGTGGTTCCTCAAAAAATGAAAAAAAATTACCACAAGACCCAGCAATTCCATATATACCATTTTTGTATATATATAAAAAAATGGAAAGCAGGGTCTTGAGCAGATGCATTTCCAACTTCAAAAAGGAAGGAAATTCTGACACATGCTGCAACATGGATGAACCTTGAGGGCATTCTGTTAAGTGAAATATGCCAGTCACAAAAGGACAAGTACTGTATGATTCCACCTATATCAAGCATCTAGAGTAGTTCACAGAGACAGAAAGTAGAATGCTGATTGCCCAGGGTCAGGGGGAGGGTAGAACGGGGAGTGTGTTGAATGGGTACCATTTCAGTTTTGCAAGATGAAGAGTTCTGGAGATGGATGGTGTTGATAGCAGCACAACAATGTAAATGTACTTAATGCCACTGAACTATATTTTTGAAGATGACTTAGATGGCAAATTTGATGTTATATGTATTTTATCACAATTAAAAATAAACTTTAAAAAGTTAGATCTATTTATTGCCTAGAGAGGTAGCCATTAATATATTATCAAATAAAAAAAGCAAAAGGCAGCTAATACCTGTAAGTAGTGCAGTCTCATTTTTTAAGCCTACACCAAAGAACCCTGTGTGCATGAACTCCTGCAGATGTCTGTTCAGGCACAGTAAAGCACAGGACAAAGGACATAACTCAAGTTATTCAGTGCTAGGACTGGAAGAAAGGAGGAGAGGCTATTTTCATCATCATCTTCAAATACCTCAGTACTGCTAGAATATGCCAGTGAACTTTTTAATTTTTACAGTTAAAAAAACAGAAAAACAATACATACCCATTCCTGCTGCTATAACTGGCACAGGCAAATCATAATTGTATAGAAGAAAAGACAACATGAGGAAGTCAATGTAACTTCGATGACTAGGCAGCAGAACAACAGGATGCTCCTGGATGGCTCTTTGTAGCTTGAAAGTAAATGTTACATTTTGAATAATTTCAGTTGTCATGTTATCAAATCACATCTCAAATCAGAAAACGGAAGAATAAGTCTATATTTAGAGGGAATACCCATCCTCTTTTTCTGCCTTTTTGCCATACACATAAACGATTTGCTCTGATAAGGTAAAAGTACTGTTTCTAGTTAAACAATTTCACATAATGCAAGAATATTAAAAATGTAAATTTTTATGGATCAGAATAATAACAGTGATGATCGCTAACATATATTAGTTGGGCACTATATTAGCATCATTTTATATACAGTTATCTTACGTGCTTTGTTTAATACCACATAATTAACAAGGTCTAAGCCTTAGCTTTCTTGTTTGTAAAATGGTCATGCATCCAATAAATGGCAGAGCTGTGAATGGAACCCAAGTCAGTCTGACTTAAAAAGCCAACTGTTAACCACTGTATTGAATTGGTTGGTTGTAGTAAGAGAAAACAAAGCTTCTCTTGGAGAGATTAAAAAAAATCTACAAATTCATAGGACAAGGTGAGAAGAATGGTATTTCTCTATGTGCTGGACTCACTGCCAGGGTGAATGGGTGTCATGTGGCTGGGAGGGATAATTTGAGTTTCCAAATATACTCCTCAGGCCATCAATCTCAAGATTCACTGGTATCCATGTGTTATCTGTTTTTTTGAAATCTAAATGTAACAGAGGCCAGGTAATCTGTGATCATCACTTAAGAAATGGCTCACCACCACCCTTGGTCCCAAACACTGTAACATTCTCTGACAGATTCAGGGTATAAGTCAGCAATCTCGAAAACAGTCAGTAGGAAGAAGAAATATTTGACAGGAAAGTAAATGACTGAATTAAAACAAAATATTAAAAGGGATGAGGAGGAAGGCAAGTGAAGTTAAGAGCTTTCCTAGAAGAAAAAAATATAAAACACAAATAAGTAAAAATACTCTTCATAAGGAAAGCTCTTTATGAAATTAGAAAAGTCATCATTTGGCAATCATTAACATAATAATTAATTCAGGCAAAAATCATCAGTGGGTGCAAAAACGAGTGGGGTAAAGTATGATGCAAAACAGGGTATTTAGCCATTTTCAAAGAGTCTTTTCACAAGATATTCATTAATTATAAAGGGAAAAAATAATAACTTTACAGCAGAGAAACCTGGCAGTCATAACGATAACCAACTGATGGAAGTGAAACATCTCCAGTAATGAAACCGACAGGCACCATGCATTGCTGACACGACCCACTGAGAAGAATGCATCGCTTCCGGGGTGTTCCTAGCAAAGGTACACAACCCGAGCCCAATACTGAGATAACATCACTCAAATTCAAACCATTTCACACTTCAAAATAATTAGCCTGTTCTTTAAAAAAAAAAAAAATTAGCATGAAACACAAATACAGATACTAAGGAATTATTTTAGATTAAAAGAGTCTAATATGGAAGTGGATACAGAAGAAAGTTGAACACTTTCTAGGATTTCTAGCGCAACACATGAGCTACGATTTTCTTTAGCTAGACAGGACATGACTGGGACAACTGGTGAAATATGAGTCAGGTCAGTATTACTAGTATTTGTTCAATGTTAATTTCCTTATTTTGATACTTGTACCATAAGATAATGCCCTTAATTATAGGAAAAACACAGCAGAGTATTAGGAAAAGGATAAAGGAAATGCTGTAAGGGAATCTAGGTGAAGTATATACAGGAATTCTTTGTATTTCTTTTGTAACGTTACTGAATATCTGGCATTAAGTTAGTCTATAAGTCTTACTTGACTAAGTTAGTCTGAAGCCTGTAGGTCTGCAGTTAAAAGGAAACAAAAAAACAGAAAACAACCTTCAGAGATGCACATCCTCTTCTGCCTAGACTGGAGGCCTGATGATTAGGCCCTAGGCTTTTGATTGACCAAGTGAGCTGTCCTTGAGTTGATTAAATTGTGAGGGGTTGAAAAAGAGACTGTTTTTTTTTTTGTTTAATTTTAAGATGAGACTTTTATTTCTTTATTTTTTTAATAATCAATACTCACTTTCTGAATACCTTCTTCATTTACACACACCTTCGAGAAAATTTGTTTAAATACTTTGCTCAGGGTGAAGGCACAAAACCGAATGGCTCCAAGACGCAGTTTGTGACTCATTTCATCTAAGATCTCACTCACTTCCTCTCGGAGGACATCCACAGATTGAAGGGATTCCTTGGAAAGCTAAAAGGAAAGGAAAAGCAGGAATAATTTCTAACAACAATAACAGAAAAGTCAGAAAGCTTTACTCAAACCAGTATGACTAGTTCCAAATGGATTAATCTTCTATAACTCAAAGATAGTGTCTTCTTAATTGACAACTTCCCAACACAGTCATAGTAGATAAATGAGCCTATTTAAAGAAGTTTAAAGGCCAGAAATTAAAAGAAAAATGGCTTTCTAGGATAGCATTTTAGAGTGAAGAAAACACTTCACCTTTCCATTTGGTTTGTTAATAAGTTTATATCCAAACTCTAAAATAAGTTGCTGCCCATGGTCTAGTGTCCTAGCAAATAGTGGCTTCTCTCAGTGTATTGCTGCAGTGCTCCACCAGCTGGCTCAATGCTATTACAAGGTAATATACAAGATCACATTGAAATTACCGACTCAGACTACATCAGATCTATCAAGTCACAGGCACACAAAGTCCCAAGCTATCAAAGGATAATTAGTGAAATAAAGAATCTCACAACGGAACTTATTTTATTCACATGGCCCTCTAGCTCTTTTGTAAAGAAAATAAAATGTTTGCTGTGTGCTGGGACTGTCAAGGGCCTGGAGATGAGCAAGTCAGTTTCTATCCTTGAGGAAGCCCTGATTTGCCCATTTTCATTGTCCCCTAAACAAGCACTTTGAAATGAAGTCTGTAGGATAAGTAATCCTTATGCTTCCCAAAGGAGAGTGCTTTGCTTTAGGATGAGCTCAGAAGCTCAGAGGACAGGTGTTGGCACCCCAATTACATGTAGTGAAGAAGTATCTTACCCTTTTTTTTCATTGAGGTGAAATTCACACACTATAAAATTAACCTTTTTTTTTTTTTTTTGAGACGGAGTTTCGCTCTTGTTGCCCAGGCTGGAGTACAATGGTGCAATCTCGGCTCACCGCAACCTCTGCTTCCCGGGTTCAAGCGATTCTCCTGCCTTAGCCTCCCGAGTAGCTGGGATTACAGGCATGTGCCACCATGCCCAGCTAATTTTGTATTTTTAGGAGAGACGGGGTTTCTCCATGTTGGTCAGGCTGGTCTTGAACTCCCGACCTCAGGTGATCCGCCCGCCTCAGCCTCCAAAATTGCTGGGATTACAGGCGTGAGCCACCACACCCGGCCAAATTAATCATTTTAAAGTGAACTATTCAGTGGTATTTTGTACATTCACAAATGTTGTGCAACCACCATCTCTATCTTGCTGCATATCCTATCTTTTGGGGGGCTCAGTTCAACAGGGAGGAACTGGGATAAACTCTTTCCTCTTACCTGTGTTCCTTTGTTTTACTCAGGTTACCTGAAACAGTGATTGTGCCAAAAAAAAAAAAAAGTTTATAAATATAGTCAGAAGAGAACTCATACTGAATGGACTGAAGACTAAATGAACTGCTGAGGAACTAAAGACAGTGGCCACAGAATAATGGGAAAGTTTGAATGAGAAGTAAAGGGATGATATGAATTAAAGCAAAAAATGCTCTCCCTAGATGCAAAAGTCCTGGACCTGTTTTTTTGTTTTTATTAATTAGCATTCCACTTTTAAAAAATTGTGTTGGCTGGGCGTGGTGGCTCATGCCTGTAATCCCAGCACTTTGGGAGGCCGAGGCAGGTGGATCACGAGGTCAGGAGATTGAGACCATCCTGGCTAACACGGTGAAACCCCGTCTCTACTAAAGAATAGAAAAAAAAAAAATTAGCTGGGTGTGGTGGTGGGTGACTATAGTCCCAGCTACTCGGGAGGCTGAGGCAGGAGAATGATGTAAACCTGGGAGGCGGAGCTTGCAGTGAGCCAAGATAGAGCCACTGCCTCCAGCCGGGGCGACAGAGCGAGACTCTGTCTCAAAAAAAAAAAAAAAAAAAAAAAAAAATTGCATTAAAATACACATAACATAAAATATGCCATTTTAACCATTTTTAAGTATACAGCTCAGTGGTGTTAAAGCCTCGGACCTGTTTATAGACCAAATAGAAGAAGTCCCCTGAGAGAAAGGCTGAAGATAGAGGAAAGGGAGCAGATGCATGCCAAAGGTCTCAGAAGAGGCTGGACGGGATGACTTCCGACCACAGGGGTGTGGCTAGCTGTGACCAGGAGAGCAGGCGCCTTTTCTCTGAGACTGGACTAAAAGGGACAGATGGAAGAAGGGATCCTGAGGCTGCAGAATGTGGATCTGTATAACTCACCCACTCTCCCAGGAGCAGCCAGACACCTGGTTATAGGAACAGAGAAGGTGAGTTGGCAGATTCCAGGCTGCTTTTTTTCCTGGTCAGTCTGGAAGGAAAGATTGCAAAGGAGAATTAAGGGTTGGTGAAACAGTTACTCAGATAATCCTAATAACAGCTGGACAGGAAGAAAGGGCAGAGGGCAGAGGGCAGAACCAAGGGAAAATAGAGGAATCAAGGGACTGGTAAGAGGGATGAATTTCAGGAAACACAGCCATGAAAGGAAGTATAACCGTAAACCTATGGAAATAGTTCAAGCCAGAGATGGTACAGAGCCAAACAAGGGTAATGACAGGTGCTAAAGAGAAGGGCAGGGCAGGGTGATGGTTCAGTTTTGTTTTGGGCAACAGAATGGGTGGTGGGGCCAGCCCTGAAATAGACACCACAGCTTAGGGATGGAAGGCAGTAAAGTACAGGGGCTAAGAATTAGTTAGCTATACAGATTCTGAGGTGTATGTGGGACATACAGATTAGATGTCCAGCAGAGAACTGGACAGCTGGAGATAAAAAGTCTGAACCCCAATAATCTAGGAACAGCTAGAGCTATTGACTGGATACCACCAAGCTATAGATGGAAAGTGAAATGATGAGAATGATGGATAAAATGGACCAGGGAGACAGCAGCAGGGAGGTAAGAAGCGTGAAGGTTCAACTCTGAGAAGCACTTATGGGGCAGACAGAAGAACTTATGAAAGAGATCAATGAGGACCATCTAACATGAAATGTCACAGAATAAAACCAGATGTCACAGAAGTCAAGGTAAGATGATCCTGAAGAAGAGAGTGTGTAACAATAAAAGACACAGCAAAAGACAACGTGGAGATGAAGGGGCCCGTTGGAGATCCATGGTAACCTTTACTAGATAAGCTTCAGCAATCTGCTAAAATTGGGACCTGAATGGAAAAGGCAGACACCACATGTAGCCCACTCTTCTGAGAAGCAGGAAAAGTAGGGAAAGAGGGAAACGAGGCAGAATACATGGCCAAGGGAGGACTTTCCCCTGGATGGAAAATCATCATGCCATCTTGAGCCAGTGGAAAGGGCTGACAGGTAGGAAAGACAATACCCTTGGGAATTAGAACGAAATGAATAGATCAACAACACAGGTGAACAGGCTGGCTTGCTTGAAGGAAATGCTTTCTCCGTGACTGCAGCAGAGCAGAAGACAACTGATCTCTTACTCTATGCAATTAGGCTTTTCATTTGCCCAGCAGATACACCTTCATAGAAACCTAATATAAGACTTAACAGATGAGCAATAGTCTTATAACTAACTCCTCGCTTCATTTTTCTGACTCTTCAGTCTCTTCTCCACATTATAAACTTGAGACATCTCTTAAATGCAAAAGTAATCACATCTTTCCTTGGCTAAGACCCCTTCAATGGCTACTATTGTATTCTGTGAGATAAAGGCAGACTGAGTTAGAAAGGTGGCAGCAGAGGTGGAGATACATAGACAGGAAGAGACATTTAACAGAGAAAATTGGCCGGGCGCAGTGGCTCACGCCTGTAATCCCAGCACTTTGGGAGGCCGAGGCGGGCGGATCACGAGGTCAGGAGATCGAGACCATCCTGGCTAAAAAAGTGAAACCTCGTCTCTACTAAAAATACAAAAAATTAGCTGGGCGTGGTGGTGGGTGCCTGTAGTCCCAGCTACTTGGGAGGCTGAGGCAGGAGAATGGTGCAAACCTGGGAGGCGGAACTTGCAGTGAGCCCAGATCGCGCCACTGCACTCCAGCCTGGGCAACAGAGCAAGACTCCCTCTCAAAAAAAAAAAAAAAAAAAAAAAAAGAGAAAATTAGCAGTCTTAGTGACTGACAGCGTATGAAAGAAAAGCAAGAAGTTGAAGATGGCATCCAGATTTGTGGTGGTTTGGTCAACCAGTGCATGGAGGGGCCATTCCTGGAGACAGGGAAAACTGGGTGGGGGTAGGAGGTAATATATCTTAGACACCTGGCTCAGGGGTAGGGGTGGGAGGGGTAAAGAGTTTGACTTATACATCTTGAATTTGAGGTGCTTTGGAATTTCCAAGTGGATATTCTAGTAGACATATAAAAACAGATACATGAAACTCAAAAGAGATCTGGGCTGAAGGAATAGATATTATTTATCCATGTTCTTATTATGTTATTATTTATAATAGGGAGATGTCAGCATAAGGAAAGTACTTAAAATTCTGGCAATTAATAAAACTGCCCAGTGACTGGGTAGAATAAAACCAGAGGCTGGAATAAAATCCTGACGCATTCCATCATTTAAAGAGACAGGCAAAGGAAAAGCCCATAAAAGCAAATGAGGAATGATTAAAAAGACATGGGGCTTAGGGTGATGGTATGGTGTCATGAAAAGAAAGGAGAAAGAGCAAGAGCCAACGACTATTACAGCTTTGAAACAGGTAGAATTTACCCATAAGGAAGTCATTTACAACCTCAGAAAGAGCCATGACAGTGGATGAGAAACTGGATTCCAGCAAGTTGAGTAGTAAATGAAGGATGAGGAGGTGTGATGGTAAGCATGGACAACGTGGCCAATTTTGAGCCAGGTACAGTGGCTCACACCTGTAATCCCAGCACTTTAGGAGGCCAAGGCAGAAGGATCGCTTGAGGTCAGGAGTTCAAGCTCAGCCTGGGCAACATAGCGGGATCCTGTCCTACAAAAAATTTTAAAAAACAAAACAAAAAAAGCTGGGCATGGTGGCACATGTCTGGGGTTCAAGCTACTTAGGAGGCTGGGGCAGGAAGATCGCTTGAGCCCAGGAGTTCAAGGTTACAGTGAGCTATGATCATGCCACTGTACTCCAGCCTGGGTGACAGAGAGATCCTGTCTCTAAAGAATAACACAAATCAATTTCTTAAAAGAGGAGGAGAGAGGTAGACGAGGGGGAAGAAAGAGATAGTAACTAGAGAAGGCATGGGGTTAAAGGATGTAGGTCTATTTAAACTGGGAGAGAAGTAAATATGCTAAATGCTGATGGGAGAAGAGCTAATAAAGAAGTAGTTGAAGAAATAAGAAGGGATAGTCAGGAGAGCAAAGTTCCTGAGGATGAGGGAGAGGGTGGAATTTAGAACAAAGGAATAGGGTAGGGATTAAACTCAAACAGGAGAAGGGATTTCTTCTATTTTAACAGGAGAAAATAATGAGTACTGGATGCAGGTAAATTGGTAGATTTGATCACAGGAAGTTGAGAGAGCACTAACAATAGTTTAAATTTTCTTTGTGGTTGGGGGCAGTGGCTCGCACCTGTAATCCCAGTGCTTTGGGAGGCTGAGGTGGGCGGATTACCTGAGGTCAGGAGTTCAAGACCAGCCTGGTCACCATGGTGAGACCCCATCTCTACTGAAAATACAAAAAATTAGCCAGGCGCAGTGGTGGGTGCCTGTAATCCCAGCTACTTGGGACGCTGAGGCAGGAGAATCACTTGAACCTGGGAGGCGGAGATTGCAGTGAACCGAGATTGTGCACCGCACTCCAGTCTGGGAGACAGAGGGAGACTCTGTCGCAAAAAAAAAAAAAAATTTTTTTCGGCCGGACGCAATGGCTCACGCCTATAATTGTAGCACTTTGGGAGGCCAAGGCGGGTGGATCACGAGGTCAGGAGATCAAGACCATCCTGACTAACAAGGTGAAACCCTGTCTCTACTAAAAATACAAAAAAAAAAAAATTAGCTGGGCATGGTGGCGGACACCTGTAGTCCCAGCTACTCAGGAGGCTGAGGCAGGAGGATGGTGTGAACCCGGGAGGCAGAGCTTGCAGTGAGCCGAGATCGCGCCACTGCCCTCCAGCCTGGGTGACAGAGCGAGACTCCGTCTCAAAAAAAAAAAAAATTTTTCACTGTGACACTGGAAGAAAAACCATCTGCTGAGAGTAAGAAGAGGAGGCAGGGCTGGAAGTTCAAGGAGAGTGGGGCTGCTAAAACTGTCATTTTGGAGAATGAAAAACAGTTCACTAGGGAAACAGAATTACTGGGGAATATGGAAGGCCCAGTTGTGCTGCCTAATTATGAATTTGTACGATTCCAATCTATCTTAGTTTATGTGATTTTTCTCAGCAGCACAGCCAAGTCAGAGAAACACTGGCCTGAATAAGATCTTTTAAATTGGTAACACTTAACCTGGGTGTGCATTAGAATTATTTGAGGAGTTTTAAAGAAAAGCAGAAGGCTGGGCATGGTGGCTCATGCCAGTAATCCAGCACTTTGGGAGGCCGAGGTGGGCGGATCACCTGAGGTCAGGAGTTTGAGACCAGCCTGGCCAACATGATGAAACCCTGTCTCTACTAAAAATACAAAAATTAGCCGGGTGTGGTGGCAGGCGCCTGTAATCCCAGCTACTCGGGAGAGAGATGCCTGGGTCCTATCCCAGACCAGTTAAATCAGAATCTCTGTAGATGGGACCATGGCCTCATTTTTAAAAATTCACTAATTCAACAAATATTGATTGAATGTCTACTATGTGTTAGGCACTGGGAATACGGCAGTGAAAAAAGAGACAGGAATTCTTGCCTTCATGGAGTTTACCTCCTAGTAGATAATAATAGTAACTTTTGCAAAAGTTCTCCAAGTGCTTCTATAAGGAAGAACTAACTGCTGTTGTTAGCATCTAATTGATGAGGAAACTTGACTTCACTTATGAAATAGGCCCAACCTGATAAAACTGATAGCCTCTCCAGGATATGTAAGGCCAATAAAAACAAAGGAATAGGAGCACAGCTCATATGTCCAAATCCAGAAAACAGAGAGCAGAGATAAAAATGTTCCCAAGGCCACAAACCTGAATAAACTCCAGTTAAAAGTTAAAAAAGCAAGATCTCTACAGGCCAGCCTTAGAGCATTAGAGGCGAATTTAAAGCTTGACAACTGTCTTTCTTCTTCACTAATTAGAAACCAGAGCAGATTCCAAGAGGTCAGAGAGGAAGTTGCAGAACAAATATGGTATAACTTGAAGTCTGGGGCAATACTCCTAAAGACAAGACTGAAGACATCTCTACTAAAAACTGGAGGTAGGCCGGGTGTGGCGGCTCACGCCTGTAATCCCAGCACTTTGGGAGGCCAAGGAGAGCAGATCACAAGGTCAGGAGATCGAGACCATCCTTGCTAACATGGTGAAACCCCGTCTCTGCTAAAAAATACAAAAAATTAGCCGGGCGTGGCGGCTGGTGCCTGTAGTCCTAGCTACTCGGGAGGCTGAGGCAGGAGAATGGCATGAACCCGGGAGGCGGAGCTTGCAGTGAGCCGAGATCGCGATACTGCACTCCAGCCTGGGCAACAGAGTAAGACTCCGTCTCAAAAAAACAAAACAAAATAAAACAAAAAAACTGGAGGTAACAGGCAAAGTCAGGGAGAGGCCTTAAACATGAACGGAGTCAGTTCTGTCTATGGGGAAGACGAGAGTGAGCCACAATCTACACAAATAAAGAGGCAGCGTCAAATGTTAATATTTGGTAACCAACATCAAGCAAGAATACTGCAATTCTGAATGAGTTCACTCTCCTTACAAAAACACACTAGTTGCATACATGCTTGTTTTCCTTTAAGACATTTATAGAGGACCAAAAGAAAAAAAAAAAAGGAGAGAGCATATTCCTTAGAGGAGTTTCTTAAGAATATTTTCTCTTCTGACCAGGAAAAAAATGAGGGCATGGAGCAATAGGAGACTGCTGCTAGCAAAAATGAGGCCAGTCATTCCTTGCCACACTCCCAAAGCTATGAAGAGGATCTGGGCGGGACCAAGCCCCAGGCTAGCAACACCTGCAATGCATCCATTTATCCACCTGTGGGCCTATGACCATACAAGCACCTGGGTGATATGACGTGGAGGGCTAGCGATCAGGGAGCTCCTGCCCACCAAATACCTTCATTTTGATGTCTTCAAATCACACAGCTATAACAGAACTTAAGTTTCCCTCCCAAACTGGTTCCCTCTTAAGTTCCCTATTTCAGTGAATGGCTTTATCATCCCTGACTCTTTCTTTTCCTTCCATTCCTACACCCAACTGGTCATAAATGAAGTAGACCCCACCTCTCAAATCCCTTAAATCTGTCCATTTCTCTGTTTCTACAACCACTCCCTAGTCTAGGCAACTATGACTGCACAAAGGGATTATTCCAAGAGCATCACAAGCAGACTTCCTGTCTAGTTTTAGCAGAATGGTTTTTCTAAAACATTAGCCGATTGTGTCACACTGTATCTTGAAACCTTTCAACATCTTTGCACTGTACTAGGATAAAATACAATCCAACATGGTTTACAAAGTCCTTCATAACATGACCCTCTTACCTCTCTAGGCTTATTTCTTATTATCATCCCTTCTTTGCTCTTTGGTCTCGTCATACTGAACTAGTTTCAGTACAGTGAAAGTAAACTTTTTGCAAAAGTTCTACAGGTGATTCTAAGGGGAAGCCAGTGTTGAGAACCACTGTTGTTAGCATCTAATTGATGAGGAAACTTGAATGCACTTAATGGAATAGGCTCAACCTATCTCCTACCAGAGAAAACTGATAGCTTCTCCAAGAGAAAAGTACAAGTCTTTTCAAGGCTTCGGTCCTTAAAATAAGCCAGTGGCTCCCAAACTTTGCTATACTTTGGAATCACCTGGGCTTCTTTAAAAACTACTGATATTCCCTTCCCTGACATTTTTATTTAATTGGCATGGGGATGATATGGGGATTTTGAAAAGCTCCCTGGGTAATGCTAATGTGGAGGTTTGAAAACCACAGGAATAAGTTATTTGTTTGGCTTGAATACTCTTTCCCCACTTCACCTGCAACATCTCTAATTATCTTTTAGGCCTCATTAAAAAAAATCACTTCCTTGACTCTCTACACCAAATGAGTTGCCCCTATAATTAATTAGCGCCCCTGCACACTGGGCTCCCACTAGCATGTCTCGTATCATATTTCACTTATGCCCAGACGACATATTTCACTTACGCTCAACTCGCTCACTGTTAGACCTCTAGTCTAGTGTCTAGCAAGAGGCTAACACACACGGATACAGTAATTATTTGATAAATGTGATGAATACAGCTCAGCCTAAAAGGATATATTAAAGTAGCAAAATAAGTTATAGAATTAAGAACTTGTTGACAATGAACAAATCTGGCCATGGTTGAAGAGGGAATCACTTACCTGTTTAATGACATAATGAATCTCCTCAGAATTGAGAACACTACATTTAATATCAATTGGTTTACATGGAGTAATTCCCTTATAGACAAGAGGTGTGTAGCATTTCATTGCAAATTTCAAGTCACTGACATGCCTCCTCTCTTCTAAAATATCTTCAAACTCATCCCACTTTTTGAGCTCCTTCTGTGGATAAGGCAAGAAAGTAATGAGCACATACTGTAAAATAAATCAGGACAGATTAAAGACTACATTGGTAAGGTTTCATCTTTGACAAAATATTACTCTATGACGTGAACAGGAGCAGAGTGTTCTGATGTTAGATTTTCATATAGTAAAAAAAAGAGATGTAAAGAAAATTAGGATCAATAAATTGATACTGAGTTATCATAATATTTTATTATATTTCTGATTGCTATCATTGTCAGTATCTCTTTGGGAAATTTAATGAAGACAGCAAAGATGAGACATTAAGCCCTAGAGTAATCTGATCAACTTCACATGGTTTCACCTGCCACACTGACAAACCTGTTCCATTTGCCTCTACTTAGCTTTAAAAATTACATTAAAACAAACATTTGAAACCCAAATTATATAAAATAAAACAAAACTATATGGGTGCAAATAAAAGGAAAAATCATTCAAGAAACAAGCGCTCCAATAAAAGGTACTGTTGAGCAGTATATGGCTGTGATAACTTTCTTT
Organism: Homo sapiens; assembly: GCF_000001405.40. NCBI lineage: Eukaryota > Metazoa > Chordata > Mammalia > Primates > Hominidae > Homo > Homo sapiens. Next base: position 231,250,441 of record NC_000001.11, on the reverse strand, counting down.
TCTTCTTTTCGAGACAAGAGCTTATTCTCTTGCTCAGGCTGGAGTACAGTGCCACCATTATATAGCTCACTACAGCCTTGAACTCCTAAAGCAATCCTCCCTCCTGCCTCAGCCTCTCGAGTAGCTAGGATTACAAGTGCATACCACCAAGCCCAGTTAATTCTTAATTTTTTTTGTAGAGACAGTCTTGGCTGGGCATGGTGGCTCATGCCTGTAATTCCAGCACTTTGGGAGGCTAATCTCAATCCTCCACACTTCAAGCAGGATTGCTTGAAGCCGGGCATTCAAGACCAGCCTGGGCAACATAGCAAGACCCCATCTCTACAAAATAAAATAATAATAATAATAATAATAATAATAAAGAGGTACAGTCTTGCTCTGTTGCCCAGGCTGGTCTCAAACTCCTGGCTCAAGCAATCCTCCCACCTTGGTCTCCCAAAGTGCTGGGATTACAGGTGTGAGCTATTGTGCCTGGCCTGTGACAAATTTTTTATTTCTTATTCAGCCCCTGCCATTCAGCTTCTATCCAACCAGCCCCTGAAACTGCTCTTTACACGTCTACCAATGACTTCTGATTTGTTAATTTTTTAAAAAGTACTTTTCTGATTACAAAAGTAGTAGTAATGATAATAATTAAAGCTAACACGTATAACTGCTTACAAAGAGTCAGGACACTTGTCATATGTGCTGACACTAAAGTGTTAGGCGCATTCTAAATGCTTTAGAGGCTTAGGCACCACTCCTCTATGAAAGCTCTCCCAGAGTCCCGAATGGAATCATTCATATTTTCCCTGTCACTTCTTTTCCCACTAACTACACCTATTATGGTATGTATCCCACAACACTGTAATTGTATGCATGTCTGTCTCCCTACTAAAATGAAATTATCTCGAAGGTAGGAAAGTTCATTTTCTCTTTGTATTTCCAACATCTGGTTTTATTTGGAATATAGCATAATTGGTCAATAACTGAACTCAATAACTGAAAGATGAAATGTTGAGGTAATAGAAGAAAATACAGAATGTTAACTGAGACCACAATTTGGCATAAGAATATAAGTGGCAGCAAATAGCATTTATGAGGAGTTTATAAAAGGGTGGCAGGTGAAACATACAAACATGAACATTTTTATGTCCATATATAGAGAGACTATATGAAGGAAAGGTCTTTTCACTGTTGGAGTTCTCATGTAAAGTTGCAACCCTTGTAATAAATACTCTTGCTTATAAGGCTGGAAAACCTTCTCAAATCCCACATTTCTCATTAATAAATATATAGTTGTATCAGTTTGCGCTCTATAGACTGCAGCCAACTACCATTATATCATTTTAGGGCTTAAAAACAAGAACTTCCCATTTAGTGGTCCTGGGAGTGGAAGGAGAAAAGGATCAGAATCAGCTGGGGATATATGTATACACATATACAGTCATGCACTGTTTAACAACAGAGATACACTCTGAGAAATGCATTGGTAGGCAATTTCATCATTGTACAAACATCACAGAGTGTGTTTACACAAACTCAGATGGTATAGCCTACTACATACCTAGGCTATATATAGTATAGTGGTTAGCCTATTGCTCCTAGGCTACAAACCTGTACAGCATGTTACTGTACTGAATGCTATAAGTGATTGTAACACAATGGTACAAATTTACACATATAAACACAAAAAAGATACAGCAAAAATACGATATTATAATCTTATGGGACCACCATCATATACTGACTAAAACGTTGTTATGCATCATGTGACTCTGTGTGTGTTTGTGTGTGTGTTTATACGTATATATAGCTGACCCTTAAACAACACACATTTGAACTGCACAGGTCTACTTACATGAGGATTTTTACATTTAAGTTTTTTTTTTTTTCAATAGAGACGGGGGTCTTGCTATGTTGCCCAAGCTGGTCTGAAACTCCTGAGCTCAAATTATCTTCCCACCTTGGCCTCCCAAAGCGCTGGATTACAGGCGTGAACCACCACGCCTGGCCTATATGAGGATTTTCTGCTTCTGCCACTCCTGAGAGGGCAAATCCAACCCCTCCTCTTCCTCCTCCTCCTCAGCCTACTCGATGTGAAGTGATGAGGATGAAGTGGATTAATGACGATCCACTCCCACTTGATGAATAGTAAATATATTTTCTCTTATGATTTTCTTAGTAACATTTTCTTTTCTCTAGCATACTTTATTAAGAATACAGTACATAATACACATAACATATAAAATAAGCCTTAATGAATTGCTTATGTTATCAGCTAGGTCAACAGTAGGTTACTACTAATGAAACTTTTGGAGAGTCAAGAGTTATTGTGAATTTTCGACTGTGCAGAGGGTTGGTGCCCCCAACTCCCACGTTGTTCAAAGGTCAACTGTACATATATAAACACAGACATGTATGGGAGCGAGGGAGTCTTCAGGATAAGAACCCCTAAGGGAAACTAGCAGGCATGTATACTTTGAAAAAGCTTGCCAAATACGATCATCTACAATCCTTCCGTGGTTCTGTTACTTGCAAGGTGGACTTACATCAAGTCCACCTGTCTTAGCATATGACCCCAGGCTCTTCATGACCCCCCACCTCCTGCCTCATGACCATTCCTCTTAATCCAATAGTCCAGCTATGCCAAGACCTGCAGTTCCCTAAACACACTACGTGTTCCCAGATCTCTGATTCAAGTTGCTCCCTCTACAGAATAGCATTCATTCTCAAATATCTGAATGCCTATGTGCTTGACACTGTGGTATGTGCTGAGGATATAGTGGTGATCAAGAGAGAGACAGTCTCTTTTATGAAGAACAAGGTGGATGGTGGTACCAGTTATTGAGAGGGGCATTTACAAATGCTCCTTCCGCACTGTTCACCTGGGAAATATTTAGCCATCAACCAGAGCTTGTGTTTACCTCTTCTGTGTCCCATATTCTGGTTCTCCCCTTTACCTAGATTGAACAGGTCATCCTTTCCTTTCAGTCTTCACTGAACCCTCAATAATCGGATTTTCAAGATGGTCTCTAAAACACTTCATTAAACTCGTATTTGGTGCCTCCCTTACAAGACTGTGAACTTCTTATCTGGTAGATAAGGTGTCCTATACATTTCTGTACTCCCAGTTTCTAGTATGAACTCAAGCCACTGTAGAATGAAAAAATAAATTACAGAATGAAGTCACTTTTTGAACCCTATCGATGATGGCTCCTCAGTATTCACAGTATAAGGCTCAAATCTCCCCATTCTGGCCCTTACCCGATGTCGAATCCAGTGGTTTTTTTTTTTGAGATGGAGTCTCTCTCTGTTGCCCAGGCTGGAGTGCAGTGGCACGATCTCAGCTCACTGCAAGCTCCGCCTCCCGGGTTCACGCCATTCTGCCTCAGCCTGCCGAGCGGCTGGGACTACAGGCGCCCGCCACCATGCCCGGCTAATTTTTTGTATTTATAGTAGAGACGAGGTTTCACCGTGTTAGCCAGGATGGTCTGGATCTCCTGACCTCGTGATCCACCTGCCTAGGCCTCCCAAAGTGCTGGGATTACAGGCGTGAGCCAACGCGCCCGGCCGAATCCAGTGGTTTTAAACTCAGGCTGCACATTAAAATAACCTGGGGGCACTTCAAAATAAATACTGATATCCAGGTTCCACCTGTAGAGATTTCTGATTAATTTGGTCTGTGAGTGCTGCTCAGCTGTCCAAATTCTTTTTAAAAATACTCCAAGTGATTCCTATGTGCAGCTAGGGTTGAGTGTTCCTGCTCATTAATTGGCCTTCCCTATACCATGCTTGAGAAGTTTTTACTATCATTAAGTAAGTAAATTTACATGGCTACTCACTCAGGAACATAACACAAAGAAGAACCCAAGTAAGCCTTAGGGGAACTATCTCTCCCCCATCTTACTTAGTAGAGCAGGCCTCTCCCTACTGCTAGTGAAATAGGCCTTTCTTATACCTCCCTTTTAACTGCTCTGGAGGATCCACTCATTCAACAGATAGTGACTGAGAGCTCACAGTGTACCAGGCACTGTTTTACAGGCTGTGAATACAGCATGAACAAGGCAGGCAGGGACTGCACTGAGAGCCTACGTGTCCTTATGGAAAGACAGACAACAAATAAACAAGGTAAATTCATTTAGTGATACCACCAGTAGTATGTTGGTCAATGTTTAACCATTTAACGCTTGATATGGGAGAGCTCTGAGTTATAGCATTTGTCAATTTTTGTGGGATATACGCTCCCACCAGGGCAGATTTAAAGCTTCCAATCTGACCCCAGCAAACGCAAAGCTGGGGAGAAATGAGCAGTAGCACACAGTTATACAGGATACAGGATCTCCACCTTCCAGCACGATAGACAAATAATCTCAAGAGCACAGGTAATAGTACAATAATGAGAAAATGTTAAGTTATCAGTATTTATTACCTTTTTTAAAAACAGGATTTAATCGTAAATTTACATAATTTAATATTTAATTTTTTTTTTTGAGACAGAGTTTCACTCTTGTTGCCCAGGCTGGAGTGCAATGGCGCAATCTCGGCTCACTGCAACTTCCACCTCCCGGGTTCAAGCGATTCTCCTGCCTCAGCCTCCCGAGTAGCTGGGATTACAGGCATGTGCCACCATGCCCAGCTAATTTTGTGTTTTTAGTAGAGACGGGGTTTCTCGATGTTGGTCAGGCTGGTCGCGAGCTCCCGACCTCAGGTGATCCGCCTGCTTTGGCCTCCCAAAGTGCTGGGATTACAGGCGTAAGCCACAGCGCCCGGCTATTTAATTTTTAATAATGGCTGTGTTTTAAGAATGGGCTCACAAACTTCATGAAAATTTAACAATCAGCTCTTGCAAGCCAATAGAAGACTGCTGTAGCACACCACTGGAAAGAGAATATAAGGAAAATAAAGCTGCGGTCAGGGCATGGTGGCTCACTCTGTAATCCCAGTGATCTGGGAGGCCAAGGCAAGAGGATCAATCGTTTGAGACCAGAAGTTTGAGACCAGGTTGGCAACATAGTGAGGCCCTGTCTCTACACAAAATAAAAAAAAAAACCAGTCAGGCGTGGTGGTATGCGCCTACAGTCCTAGCTACTGGGAGGCTGAGGAGGGAGGATCACTTGAGCTCAAGAGTTGGAGGTCACAGTGAGCTATGACTATGCCACTGCACTCCACTCTAGGTGACAGAGCAAGATCCTGGCTCTAAAAATAATTAATTAAAAAGCCAAAAATTAACAACAACAAAAAAAGAAAATTAGGCAACTAATGAGGAAAATGAGGAATAGTGATTGGATAGCTGTTTTAGATTCAATGGTTGTGGAAGGCCTCTCTGAGGAAGTGATATTTGAGTTGGGACCTCAATAATACAAAGAGCCAGCAATAAAACTTCTGAGAAAACATAGCATGCCACACAGAAGGGACTATGAGCATTCGAGGGAAGAGCATTTTACTGTCTGAGAAACAGAAGGCCAGGGTGGCTAAAGCCCAGTGAACAAGAAGATTAGTAAAGTCAGAGCAATAGCAGTTAAGAGATCATGTACAGTCTTGTGGGACACTGTAGTAAGGCATCTGCATCTTTCACTTGGACTTTAACAGGAAGTCATCATCTGGATTATGGCACACCAGTGGTTACCCATCCTCAGTCTTCTTTTCATTCTAGGGTCTCACTGAATGATTTCAGGCTCACCGAATGCTATAGATACAACCTACATGCTGAAAAATCTATACATTTAGGCCAGACCCCCTCTCTTGCTCTGGCACCATATTTCTAACCCTACTTGGATCTCTTCCAAACACTATGGAATGTATCTGGCTCATAACATGATAATCCACAAGTTAAAAATCATTATATTTCTCTCTTACATCACAAACTGAACACACCCCAAACTGAATTCTATTACCCTGACCAAACCTGCTCCTCTCCCCATATTTCTTATCAATGAAAGGCATCATCATCTGCCCAGTTGCCAAATCATAGAAACCCAACAGTGAACTTCAGACTATGCTATTTTCCTTAGCCACCACATTCAAATGGTTCCAAAGGATGATGATTTACTGTCCTAAATATCACATAAATTCATCAATTTCCCTTCTTCCTGGGCTCACTGTTACTGCTTCATTACTTCTCTGGATTACTGCAATAGCATTCTAACTGATCTCCACTTTTATGCATCAGATTCCCTACCCAACCTGATTCTCTTCCTACAGTCTCTACTTAGGCAAAACAGGTTACCTATACAGATAATCACACCAGAAACCTATAGTCTTCTCAGACTTTCAAAAATATAAATGTACTTTGGAAGGCCAAGGCAGGTGGATCACTTGAGACCGGGAGTTCGACACCAGCCTGGCCGACATGGTGAAACCCCGACTCTACTAAAAATACAAAAATTAGCCGGGTGTGGTGGCAGGCAACTGTAATCCCAGCTACTTGGGATGCTGAGACAGGAGAATCTCTTGAACCCTGGAGGTGGAGGTTGCAGTGAGCCAAGATTGTGCCATTACACTCCAGCCTGGGTGACAGAGTGAGACACCATGTCAAAAAAAAAATACATATACACACATATATTTATATATATATGTGTATACACACACACACACATAGATGTAAGATTAAAATCTCCCATAAAGTTAAGATTTTATCCCTAAGGATATGTAAACACGACACATAAAATTTCTTTAGGAAATATCTGCCTACTTCCTTACTTTGTTTCTCATGTCTCCTTTCTTCCACCCAAATCTAACTAATTCTAACCCCAAATATGCAAGGGAGTAGTTTTTTTTACATCAACATCTAGGACAGTTTTCCTCTCCCTCATCTGCCATTCACAGCTCAAAAACTCAGCTCATGCCAGGCACAGTGGCTCATGCCTGTAATTCCAGCACTTTGGGAGGTGAGTAGATCACTTGAGGTCAGGAGTTCAAGACCGGCCTGGCCAACACGGTGAGACCTTGTCTTTACTAAAAATACAAACATTAGCAGGGCGGGGTGGCGTGTGCCTAAAATCCCAGCTACTCGGGAGGCTGAGGCAGGAGAATCGCTTGAGCCCCGGAGATGGAGGTTGCAGTGAACCAAGATCGAGCCACTGTTCTCCAGCCTGGCAACAGAGCAAGGCTGTCTCCAAAACAAAACAAAAACAAAAACAAAAACAAAAAAGGAAGATCAGCTTAGATATCACCTTTTCTTAGAAACCTTCTCCAAGTTCCCAAACTGGTCAGGTGCCCCTTCTTGTCTCTCCCACAACACGCTGTGCATGCTTCAATCATTGCCCTTACCATACTTAACTGTGATTGTTTGTTTACTTTTATGACTTTTTGTGCCCTTAAAGGCAGAGCCTGCATCTGTAACTTCTATATCTTGGAAACTGAGAATAATGAGTAGGATACTGTATATATTCCTAATGTTTGCTGCAATCAGCAGTATCTTCTACGCTTCTAAAGTGCTACTTTTAGATCAGAATATTACACAATAACAGCGTAGCTGGGGAAATAAAAACAGCCTGAAGTACTAAGAAAAAGTAAGGTTACCGTGGAAGTAAAGGTTATCCAGTCACAAAACAGTAGTGAGAACTACCAGTAAAGAGTGGGTTGCTGTCCAGCATCAGAACTACAGAATGCTCAGATACAACTGCCATAGTTTTTCACATGAAAAAGTGGACTCAAGTCTTATTAAAGAACCGTTGGTAAAGGGGAAGTAAAACAAACAAACAAACAAACAAAACCAACTCCTTCCTTTAATGTACAAAAGGAAAATTCCAACCAATTCACAAACCAGTTGGGAGCTTAAAAAGCTACATGTTAAAAGCTGGATCTGCACAGCAACCCTCTTCCCTTCGTGCCTGCTCTGGAGTAGCAGAGTCAGAAAACAAAGTTGATATCCACCACAGAACTGTGGGGAAGATAAGATCAATGAAGAGATATATCTAAATAATAAGGCTTATAGGCAGTTAGCAATCAGAAACCGAAAGGTCTTGATAGAGAGGGAACAGAAGTTTCTCCATGTTCCAAAGAATATTGGTGTCTCAATTTGAAGGAACCCATATATTCTCTTTCAAAACTGGGGTGTTTATCTTGCTCTGCTGTGTTATCCCTGTTTTGACCTTTCTGCACAAATGAACACTACATTTAAGCCAAAATTGGACAGTAATCACCAGGATATGCTAATATGCTTTTAAAATGAATTCTTTCATTTTCTCCTAAAGTAGCTAAAAACTAATTTAGTGGTTAAAAACAACAAGAAACAAACAAAAACCAAACCAGTTGCCCCAGGTCTGTGCAATCCTGAAGGCTATAAAGCTCCCATCTCATAATTTCTTCATGAAAATCGTGGGTGACCAACATCTGCCAGCCAAAAAGACCCGTTAAAACCAAGAGAGGAAGAGGGGGTTGGAGGAAAAAAAGACAAGCGGGAGAGAAGCTGGGTGGCGCTGGCTGTCCTCCAAAATGATTTGTGGAAAAGGTACAATAATGACTGGAAGACAAGAACAGGCAATAAAAATGTCTAGAAGTTCTAAATTTTCCTGAAGTGTTTAAAACTCTATTCCCACATACAAGCCAAGTGCTCTACTCCCAGGAATATAACAGCAGCATAGGGCGGGGTGCGGAGCCACAGGCTATCTCAGGGCGGGTCAAACCCGCAAGTTTCTCAGGTTTGCCCAAAAGGTAGCTCGACATGCCCTCGCTAGAGATGGGGAGACTCCAATTCTCATTCCTCATTCTCGTGTCCAGGAGCTTTCTGAAGGCCCCAGGGCCTGATAGAAAGAAAGAGAAGGAAAAAGTGGAAAGGAACCAAAGGAACCATAATCCGTAGAAACTTCCAAAAGCATGCACACACAGACACACAGCGATACACTGTTGTCCTGGAAACCAATCCAACCAACTAACCCCTCCTCGGGAGCCTAGGGGCCAGCTCTTTTGGGCAAGGGTGGTGGGCCGGAGGAATAGGGACTGGGAGAAAGGGGTACTATTTCGCGCGGCTCCGCTCTGGGCCTCTTTTCCCTGGGCGCCTACCGAGTAGAGGAGCACGACAGCGCTGGGACTGGTTGGGCCAACGGAGAAATAAGAGTTAGATGAACTGGAAGACTCCATGGTGCGGCTGCCTTCCCGGGCGGGGTCTGGGATTCTTTGCTAAGCCGTGGTGGTGCTCCTGCTGGGGGCGGTTCTTTCGCTCAGGACGGCCCTACTTCGCCTAGGGCGGCGGCACCCTCTGCAGCCGCTACACAGGATCCCGGGCGCCGCCATCTCAGCCAGGACGGAAGCCGCGCAGGGCCCTGCAGCGCATGCGCGCAGTCGCGGAACCCGGAAGCGGGGGTGCAGCGCGGCAGAATGAGGGTTGATTCCTCGGCTGACCCCACAATGTCGCAGGAGCAAGGGCCGGGGTCCTCCACGCCTCCCAGTTCTCCGACACTTCTTGACGCTCTGCTCCAGAACCTTTACGACTTTGGTGAGTGCGGGGTCCCAGGAGCCCACGTGGAGAACAGATTTGAGGAACGTGGGTCTCCTGTGTTGCCCGTCCTGGGTTGGCCTCTGCTTTGAGGCTAAAGGTTCTTGCATGTCAAGCACCCTTCGTCCCACCTGGTTCCAGTAGCGAACACATTTCTCCATCGGAAGTCACCCCTCGACCGGGCTCTGCTGAGTTATTCATCAAACCTTCCAACTCGTCCCCAAGTGTGGGGACCATCCTACTTGCTTGTAGGAAGCACCAAGGCTTTCCGATTTAAAAGTAGCCCGCTTTTCCACGTTTTCTTGAGCCCTGGGAAGTCCCCTTTCCCCATGCCACCCCCAAGACCTGCCTGACCCTGGTGCGATGGTGTCATTTCGCTCTGGGGCCTCGGGCCTGTTGGATAATACACCAGCTTCATCCTTGTGTGTCCCTCTCCAGAGACATCATAGTCCTTGGCGAGTTGTCCTTTTCACGACTTTTTTTTTTTTAAACAAGTGCGCTGATCTTTTACTCTCCGTTCTTTGTCTTGATGGGGGAAAAGGAAAATAAAAGAGCCTATTAAAGTCGCATGGCATGTCAGTAGGAAGACAGTGCCTCATACTCTGAAGAGCTTTCCCGGGAGAAGGTGACACCCTTTGCACATGCACCAAAGAAAATCATTAGATTTCAGGACAACACACATTTCTTAAATTTACAGCGTGATATTTTAAAAGCTATTTTTATTTTGGAATGACTGCTCAAAATTCTAAGTTCACCTAAACAGTAGGAATAATAGTTAAAACTGTTGAGAACTTGCCATATAGCACATGCTTTTCGTGTATTTGCTCATTTAATTTTCAACTTCATGAAATAGACACTGTCATAAATCCATGATTGCAGATGTAGAAACAAGTACTAGAAGTTCATGAAACCTGATGCAGGTTGTCTGACTGGTAATTTTTGCAGAGCCTGGGTTCTGATTCTAGCCCCAGACCCCATGCTTGTATTAACTAGCATTTCTGTGCCCTTGGACATATTGGAGGACAGAGAAGACTTAGTCTCTGACCTTGAGAAGTTTAAAATCTAGAGGAAAAGACTATTCTGCAAAATAATATAGTTCATGTCAACACAGGCTGGAAATCATGGTAGGAGCTCTGAAGGCATTGAATGTGTCTATTCATTTTTATATCCTTAATGCCAAAGTTTAGTTGGCTCTTAAATGTTTATTGTATAAAAGATTAAGCAAATAGTAGCAAGCATAAATCAGCAGCTGGTAATTTAGAGAGCTCTGTGGTATTTGTAATACATGTGAGTAAGGATGCCTAGGATTCTGGTTAGAACTTTCAGGTGACTGGTCAGAGCTTCAACAAGTGAAATATAGAAAGAGGAATTAATAGAAAACAAAGGCATTCAAATTGAGCCAGTTGTCTTAGGTTCATCTTAATTCCTAACTGTGAAAGAAAATAGGAAGACTATTCCATGTTCCTGTAACCCAGAAAGTGTTAAAAAGAAACAGTGGCTGCAGTGCCTGATATTTTTAGTATAAAGCCAATTGGGATTACCAGCCCTGGGGACTATTGCTGTGATGACACTTTGAGTAGGAACCAAAGTGGAGACTAAAGTGATTGTGCTAATAAGGGTCAAAGACATAGTTACCTAGGAAAAGATGACTACATTTTGGATTCTCTGCATTTTGCAAATACACTTATTTGAAAGAAAACAAATAGTTTATTTCTTTGTGTGTGCTTCTAGGTGCATATAGCCCTGGAATATGTACAAATACATTCGTAGGATTTGATACTGATGATAGCTAAGACTGAAAATATTTATTTTCCTTCTTGTGTTTGAACAAACAGGAGGTACAGAAGGTGAAACAGAACAGAAGAAGATCATAAAGAAAAGGGAAAACAAGAAGAGAGATGTGATGGCTTCAGCGGCCTTGGCAGCAGAGCCATCTCCCCTACCTGGTTCTCTCATAAGAGGCCAGAGGAAGAGCGCTTCGAGCTTCTTCAAGGAACTTAGAGAAGAGCGGCATTGTGCTCCTTCTGGGACCCCCACAGGACCAGAGATCCTTGCTGCTGCAGTTCCTCCCTCTTCCCTAAAGAACAATAGGGAACAAGTAGAAGTGGTAGAATTTCACAGCAATAAAAAAAGAAAATTGACGCCAGATCATAACAAGAACACAAAGGTAATGAGTTGGTTAGCTTATATATACGTGGTGAACCCCCTGGTATTGTAGTATTAGGTGAATAGCTCTTTAGACTGTGGCAGGAATGCCTGACTATCCTCAGGCCTGCAGATTTGCCAAAAGGACTCACAGGACCCAAGACTCAGCATATAGCCCTTATCAGTCATGTAGGCCTACAGACTGACCTTAGTTATTCAAGTTCTAGACCTCCAGTGAAAAGCAGGTATTCACCATCAATCACATTGCTAGTATAAACTGTCTGGGAAAACTTGGTACAGCAGTGGCTCAAGACCTCAGGTATGCAAAAACACTCTGATCAGGCAGAATATTCTAATTGCTCAATTCTCAGGAGGCAGCCAACTGCCAGTCATGAAAATAGGACTTTCTTGGGAATGTGCAGGGTTTGGTAAACACAGGCCTGCTGAGTTAACTCTTACAGCAACTCTTTCTGGCATTCCTGTTATGTGCTAGCCACAGTTGTAGGCACTGGGATATAGCAGTGAACCAAATGTATAGAAATTCTTGCTCTCGAGGAAAAGCAATGCTGGTGGAAAAGCAATTTGATTTTTCTGAGCAGTAATCTTTTTCAGAGTGAGCTTGTAAATCTCACCTAAAATTCAGTCCCCAAGGGAGGTGTGGTTGCTCCTCCAAATGTTTTTAATTTTTTTTTTTTTTGAGACGGAGTCTCGTTCTGTTGCCCAGGCTGGAGTGCAGTGGCACGATCTTAGCTCATTGCAAGCTCCACCTCCCAGGTTCATGCCATTCTTCTGCCTCAGCCTCCCAAGTAACTGGGACTACAGGTGCCTGCCACCACGCCTGGCTAGTTTTTTGTATTTTTAGTAGAGTCAGGGTTTCACCATGTTAGCCAGGATGGTCTTGATCTCCCGACCTCGTGATCTGCCCGCCTTGGCTTCCCCAAATGCTGGGACTACAGGCGTGAGCCACTGCGCCTGGCCCCAAATGTTTTTAATTTATCTATTCACAAGAATATCATAATGGCTTTGACAAATTCATTGCTATTCCATTTCTGTAACATCCCCCACGTCCTGCAAACCTTTGTCTATCAACAAAGAAGTGAGGATTGAACGTATTAGTTTCTAAGCCTGCTATAACAAATTACCACAAACATGGTGACTTAAACCAACAGAAATGTATTCTCTTACAGTTCCGTAGTCCAGAAGTCCAAAATCAAAGTGTTGGCAGGGCCATGCTCCCTCTGAGGGCTTTGGGGGAGAATCCTTTGCCTCTGACCAGAAGGTAGCTCTAACAGTTTCCTTGGCTTGTGGTTGCATAACTATAATCTCTGCCTCCGTCTTAATGTGGTTTTCATCCCTGTGTCCCTGAGTCTCATGTTTCCCTCTGCCTTCCTCTTTGCTTTAGGCCCACCCTGAATCTGGGATGATCTCCTTTTGAGATGTTTAATTATAAAGATCCCTCTCCAAGTAAGATCACATTCACAGGTTCTGAAGAGGAGTAGGACATGGCCATATGTTTTTAGAGGCCACAATTCTACCCACTACGAAGATGGTTTGGCTTGCATTGTTCTTTATGAATGTATAAATGTATGTTAGTGTCCAGTGTTTGCCACATCTTTATGGTTTTAAAAACCATCTGTATAATCTTTTCTAAAATTCAGGTAGCATTTCATATCAAGCTTGCTGGCATCTCTTCCTCAAAGATCGTTAGCGCATTCTGCAGGCTGAGCGTGGTGGCTCACGCCAGTAATCCGAGCACTTTGGGATGCCAAGGCCAGAGGATTGCTTGACTTCAGGAAGTCGAGACTGCAGTGGGCTGTGATTGTGTCACTGCACTCCAGCGGGGGTGACAGAGCGAGACCCTTTCTCCAAAAAAAAAAAAAAAGATTATTAGTGAATCTGTAACCATGTCTACCTTTATTTTAGGATTCTAGATAAGCTTCTTAACTCTTATGTTCCAAATATAAGGCTCTGGGAACTGTTACGGGAGGGTCAAGAAATGGATTCCCTTGGTGTTTGGGGCAACCAGAGCCCCGAAGCTGGCCATCTCCCAGTACCCCAGTGTACCCTACAAATACTGGTATTTTCTGTATGTGTCATGATATGAAAAATGTTGGTGAGCACTGCTTTGCAATATAATTCAGCATTTGAAGACTTCAACTAACATAAAGCATTTAGGCACCCTTTCTTGTTTCTTCAAATGTCTCAGACTTCAGTTTCCTCTTATATTCCCTCATGTTCTTTTTTCTGGAATGGAAAGTTTTCTTTTTAATAGAAAAGACAGAAGAGTTGGGATTGAATGAGTCTGCATTTCCCTGTTGCTTAATAATAGAACATCTGTGGCAGTCTGTCAAATTGTCTTTTGCTTCCCGTTCCAAGCGAGCCCTGATGCATTCTAGTTGGCTCTTCTCAGGAGCCTCAGCTCACTCTACGTTTTGAACTTCCTGACCTTAATGAAAATTTTCATTTGTCATTGCTGCTCTCTGCCCTTTCCTCTTGTTTTTTTTTTAAATGTGTCCTTTGAAAATGTGAGTGTGTCTGGTTAAGGAAACAGAATGTGGACACATTAAAAACACATACACCTGTAAAATGACCTCAGAATGTTGACATTGCGGTGTGGAAATAAATACACATGAATATAATGCTAGTTCTTATGGCATATCCTGGGTATGCCAAGTTAAAGGGTAGTCAGCCAACTGGTGCTAATTGGAATACACCAGCTGTGCTGAGTTTGTGTAACATGGGAAAGTATAGTTGTGCCCTTGTTCTCTAAAAACTTCTAAGCCATTGTAGGACAGTTAAACAGACATGGGTGGCAAAAATATATGATGGGTAATGGTAATCTCCATGACCAATCATAGCATCAGCTGGTCATTTTTAGAGAATGCTTGAGAAAGGAAGAAGGGGATGGTGAGTTGGACAACAATCCAGCTGGCCCTGCCTAGACCCAGGAAATTACCCTATTTTTCCAGAACTTGTGCTATAAATTCTATGATTAAGCTGCATCGTGCATTGAAGCAGGTTTTCATGGGGTCATCTCGGAACTTGGCCACCATTTATATATATTTTTTTATGTTTAGAGACAGGGTGTCACTCTGTCACTCCTGCTGGAATGCAGTGGTGTGATCATAGCTCACTGCAGCCTCCAATTCCTGGGCCCAAGCCATCCTCCTGCCTCAGCCTCCCAAGTAGCTAAGACTATAGGGCACACCACTATGCCTGGCTCATTTTAAAATTTTTTGTAGAGTTGGGGTCTTGTTTTGTTGCCCAGGCTTGGTCTTGAACCACTGATCTCAAGAAGTCCTTTTGCCGCAGCCTCCCAAAGCACTGGGATTACAGGTGTGAGAGCCACTGTGCCCAGCCATCATGTCCCTTTTTTTTTTTTTGAGATGGAGTCTTGCCCTGTCACCAGGCTGGAGTGCAGTGGCCTGATCTCAGCTCACTACAACCTCCGCCTCCCGGGTTCAAGCGATTCTCCTCCCTCAGCCTCCTGAGTAGCTGGGACTACAGGTGCACACAACCATGCCCAGCTAACTTTTGTATTTTTAGTAGAGATGGGGTTTCACCATGTTGGCCAGGATGGTCTCGATCTTGACCTCGTGATCTGCCCTCCTTGGCCTCCCAAAGTGCTAGGATTACAGACGTGAGCCACTGCGTCCGGCCCATGTCCCATTTTTAATGTAGTGACTATACAAGTAATTTGGCTGGAAATAGTATGGGATCACATATTCATTCCTCCATTTATTCCACCAATCACTGGGTGCCTGCTGTCTGCAGACCTTGCAGATGGAGCAGTGAAGAAGATAATAGTGCTTTGCCTTTATGGAGTATACTGTACAATCTACTTTGGAGTTGAGCAATATAATTAGAAAGAATTATAAACAAATAGGGTCCTGGAGTACCATGCAGAACCTGGTCTAGATGTAGTGGTCAGGGAGGTCTCTCAGGAGGTAACATTCAGGCTAATGCTGTATTAAATGGTGCTGGTGAATGGGGCAGGGAAGAGTGAGCCAAGGAGGGAGAAAACAGCCTTGCTAACATTGTGGGGTATGAAGAGGCCTGGTGTGTTCAAGGAGCTGGAAGAAGTCTAGCAAGACTAGGACAGAAGGGAGAATGGTTGGTGCTAATACAAGAGAGACAGGCTGAGACCAGCCCTTGCCAGGTCTCATAGGCAGTAGTGAGCCTTGGGACTTTAGTCTTAAGTACATGAGAAGCCACCAAAGAATTTCATGCAAGGGCATGAGGTAATCTGATTTAAATTTTAAAACGATCACTGTAGCTCCTATGTGGTGAATCGATTATAAGGGAGCAATAGCAAGAGGCATGAGGAGACTGATGTAGGGGTTTGTTGCAGTGGTCCAGGTTCAAAATAGCGTGGCCTGGACTAGTGATCTCAAAAAAATGAATGGGCAAACCTACTCTTTCATAAGTGCAAGGCTGCCTGTAAGGAAGAAAATTCTTATGCTTTTAAGCAATGAAAGCGTCAGATGTAGCTTAACACACCTGTGTGTTGCTCAGCCCTTAGAGCTGTGTCACTGCCATTTCTCCACAGCTAGCATTGGGCCATCTTAACGTGAATCATTCACTGCCCCTGTTTCAGGAACCTTAGCCTCTTTTGTGGCCTCAGATAAGAAAGAGATAAGAAACACATAATAGAATAGTGTTCTGTAGATCAGAAGGGACCTTTGCATCCTGAGACTGAGGTACATGAAGGCCGCCCCTGAGCATATAGCGAATTGCTAATATTTATTGGGGGTGTACTGAGAGTGTTTGTTTATGTTCATTAACTCATTTATGGTCTCAATCCTCACAATTCCTGGCACCTGTCTTCATTTCACAGAGAAGCTTGAGACTTACAAGAGGTTAAGTTACTTGCCTGTAGTTAAACATTAACCTCACAGCCCCATATCTGCAATTCCAAACACCCAGAGCTCTGGAAACCACAATTTGATTGATCCCTTTTCTTTTAAGATTGGTGCAGATTTATTTGGCAGAAAAACCTGATGAAGCTTTTAAAAATCATTTTTGTTCGGCTGGGCACGGTGACTCATGCCTTTAATCCCGGCACTGTGGGAGGCTGAGGCAGGCGGATCACAAGGTCAGGAGTTCAAGACCAGCCTGGCCAATATGGTGAAATCCTGTCTTTACTAAAAATACAAAAATTAGCCGGGTGTGGTGGCATGCGCCTGTAGTTCCAGCTACTCAGGAGGCTGAGGCAGGAGAATCGCTTGAACCCGGTAGGCGGAGTTTGCAGTGAGTCGAGATTGTGCCACTACACTCCAGCCTGGGCAACAGAGCAAGACTCCGTCTCAAAAAAAAAAATTTTTTGTTCATCTCATTTGGTGTGAATATTCATAGATATTGCCACAGAAATATTAATGTGTTTAATTATGGATTACTGCCTTGGACCCTACTGGAAGTGGTCTGTAATATTCAGTATATTCAGTTTTGCCTTTTTAAAATGTAAAGACTTCTGAATTTTAAAGCTGGAACCTGACCCTAAGGATGCCAGATAAAGGATTATGGAGCTGAAGTAAGTGCCAAAGGTTGGGTTCAGACCCCAGGCTTTCTGGCTTCAACACTGTGTACATAACTTTTATACTAGAGAGAGCATAGGTGAGGTTAGGCTCTGCTCTTTGTCCTTTGAGTGACACAAGTACACTGACTCTGAGCCATCGCCAGACAGAGACATTTCTTGCAAGTTATAGTCAAATAGCTTTGATCGTTCCCCAAATTCTTGCAGCTCTCATACTGCCCCGCAATGTGGATGTAGCCCACTGCATGGTACTCCACCCGGAAATCCTCCATGCTCCAGTGCCTCTTCTTACTTTTACGCCAGACTTCCTGTTCCTGAGTAGATCAGTGTCAGATGGGTGTTAGGAAGAAAGTAATCTAGCTGAAGTAATTTAGGCTCATCAAGGTGTGAACAAACTTCTTAATATTCATACAGCCGTCTGCATTTTTAAAAGAGCATTTGTTTACCGGGCTACTCTCTCTCTAATTGGAGACAGGTTGGTTGGGCACTTCAACTAATAGATTAAAAAAGAAAGAAAATCTAAGCCGCGTAAGAGAAAATACCTAAATCACCCCATAGACGGGTTTGCTGAATCTGGTGGACTGCCTGCCTTCATCTCTCACTTTTCTTCCAAACTGTTCTTTCTTTTTCTAGCTTTTCTTCCTTCTTCCCTGCCCAGCATATAAGTTCTCAGAATCTCCATACATATCCCTCTCCCTTGTGTGGGATAGTAAGGCTAGATTAGTTGCGATAGGTTAGGCTGTGATTTGATAACAAATAGTCCCTACATCCCAGTGGTTTAAAAGACAAAAATTAATTTTTCTCATGTTACATGGCCATCGGGATTTGCAGAGGCAGGTCTCCTGTGCCACACCATCCTCACCTAGGGACCCGGGATGACGGGGTGCCACCATCTGGAGGGTGGTTAGTTGCTTTAATGAAGGAAAGGGGAGTTAATGAAGGGCTCTTAAGGGGTCCACGTGGAAGTAGGCACACACCCCCTCTGCTCGTGTTTCTTTGGCCAGGGAAAGCCACCTAGGCATTCCTAGCATCAAGTAGACGGGGAAGCGTGAGTCGCCTGTGTGCCTGGAAGTAGTGGAGGACCCAGTATTGCCTATGGGCAGTAATGCCTCCTACTGCAGAGAATATGGGGGGAAAGAAAACCGAGGAGACCACTGATGGTTTCTAAGTCAGGTCATGTATTATGAATAATGTACTGAAGTGATTCTCAAGCTATGAATAAAAATAAAAATTAGACAGTGGTGGGTCATGCTAATAGGGACTCAGCAGCTATGAAATAATGAGGCAAGAATTTTTTTTTCCCAAAAGTTTGTGTTTGATACATGCACAGATCTAGACCTCAGACCCTTTCTCAAAAAGCCATCAATAGCTACAAAACTAAGATGTTTCTGGTGAACTGTTTAAAGAGGGATGAGGACACCGAGGTATCTGTGTCTGTGCCAGAGCTACCACCAAGGGACTCTCTCCTCCCCTTGGTCTAGTCGGCCCCTCAGCCCTGGTGTCCCCACAGCCAAGGTGCAGGGGATTAGGTGTTCTCCGTGGCTGCTGATGGGGACAGCAGGAACTAGGAGAGGCCCGACATTGCTCCTTTCTTTTGTAGGCCGGTCTCTTTCCAGGGCCCAGGGGTTTCAGCCTCATAGTAGCTATCATACAGTTGGCCAAGAATTTTATTACTGTGCTGAAATCCTCTTTAAATTGCTCCATTCTCATGCTAATCTCTAGTAACAGATCGGCCAAAAACATCTATAACATCTCCAGTATTGCTAGAAATCTGACGTGCCTCGCGCCACTGCACTCCAGCCTGGCGACAGAGTGAGACCCCGTCTCAAAAAAAGAAAAAGAAATGTTCAACTTAGAGACTTGATTTAGCCATTACTTCAGTGGAGCGGGTAGGAGGGAAGAGAGGAATTACTTAAATGTTTAGAAAAGGCGGTAAATATCTTAGGGGATCTTGGAGATCTGGGAACGGTATACAGGGTTTTGTTTGTTTTTATAGGGGTTAGATATGGTCATAGTAAATAGATTAGATGTGCATGGCAGTGGAAAAGATATCGTAACTTCAAAGTAAATGTGGAATTTTTTCCAGTCATAGAATAGGAATAAGACTCTTTCTGGTGTGGATAAAATGGAAGTGGCGCACACAGAGTCCTCCGTGCTATGCCTGTGGTCTCAGTTAAGGCACTTGATGCTGTCAGCCAAGTGGGAGACAGGTTTGAAGAAAATCTGAAGCCAGGAAGGAAGATGAAGTAAATGGAAAGTGCGTCTGTTGTGATTAATAGCACAGAGCTAGGCCATACGCCTGGACCCTGACAGTGGTCCTCTGCTGTCACGTCCTCTGTTACCATCAGCACCCCAAGCCCACGGAGAGCCAGTCAGCGTCCAATGTGACAGTGGATGCCCATGATGCTGCTGATGGTATGGTCAGTAGATCCATTAGGAATAAGAGCGTTGGGTAAGCCTTGCTGTTTTTTGGACCCTGTGCCACACACTTATCACACTTTATCCAGTTATATCGTAATAACCCCCCTGTGAATTAAGTGCAGAGTTCCTCATCATCTGAAGAGTCATTTCATAGGGAGTCAGAAGCCATCATCTATGAAAACATGCAGTGACTGACTGTCTGAACCCACACACCTTAAATACAGTGGTGGGGGCTGGGGTGGGGGATGAGGAACCAGGCTAAGCAGAAGCACAGCTCCCGTTTGGAGAAGGAGAGAGCAAGTGGACTCCATTGTGGCTGCCTCATGGACTGTGTAGTTGCAGGGTGGACTACCACCATTGGTGGTCAATGGCACATGGTGCCGTTGTGATAGGCACCTCTTGGCAGGTAGGGCAGGAGATAGGGTGATATAAAGAGTCACATATTTTGGGGGCATTTGCAGCAACATCATTTTCTGTTAGGAATTATAAACCAAATCTCTGCCATGCTAGGAATCTGATATTTCTGAAAGAACTGTTTAGCCCATTACACTAGTGGCCAGATGGGAGGGAAGAAAGAAATAATTACTTGAATATAGCAGTTTTACCCTCTAAATTTTACATCTAAAATTCCTGCTCACAGCCATCCTTTTCTAAACCTTCCCAGCAAGCAGAATTTTCTGTGTGTGATGTGTGAGATTCAGGCAGTGCTCTCTTACCAGCTTTTCTTTTTTTCTCAGTTTCTCATCATTACTTTTATAAGCTTTGAGACCCTAAAAAGTATTGTCTCCATTTTTCTTCTGTTAGTTGTTCTTTAGGATTTTGAGCAACATGCTTGTATTACTTTTGACAGTTGGCCATCTGGGCCAGTTTCAAGGTTTCTTTCTGTTTTCCATTTTTTTAATTGTGGTAAAATATACATGAATGTAAAATTGACCATTTTAGCCATTTTTAAGTGTGCAGTTCAGTGGTGTTAAGCTCATTCATGGTGTTGTGCCACCCTCATTACCATCCATCTTCAGAACTCTTCTCAGCTTGCCGAACCGATGCTGATGCTCTATACCCATTAAACACCAGCTCCCCATTCCCCTCCCTCCAGCCCCTGGCAGCCACCATTCTAGCTTCTGTCTGTGTGAATTTGACTCCTCTGGGTATTTCATAAAATGGAATCATGCACATACCCTTCTGTGACTGGCTTATTTCACTTAGCATCATGTCTTCAAGGTTCATCCATGTAGCATGGGTTAGGAGTTCCTTCTTTTTTCAGGCTGTGGAATATTCCAGCATGTGTATATGCCACGTTCAAAAGTATCTGTCCATCTGTTGGTGGACATTTGAGTTGCTTCTGAGTTTATTATGAATAATGCTGCTATGAACGTAGGTGTACAAATATCTCTTCAAGTTCTTTTGGGTATATGCCCAGAAGAGGAATTGTCAGATCATATGATCATTCTATTTTTTAATTTTTGAGGGACCATCATAATTGTTTTCCCCAATGCCTATACCATGTGGTAAAACATTCCCACCAATATAGAGCATGGGTTCCAGTTTCTCTACATCCTTGCCAACACTTGTTATTTTCTGGTTTTTGGACAGTAGCCAGTCTAGTGGGTGTGAAAGGGTCACTTTCAGGTTCCTTAAAACATGTCTACTCTTTCGGTGATAGATACTATAATGATATAGTAACAGATGATCTAAATAAGAATTTTTTCTCTCAGCAGGCTAATCCTAGTGTTTTGGAGAGAGATGTGGATACACAAGAATTTAACCTAGAAAAAGTATGTACTTTGAGATTGTTAAATTATTTATAATTAACTTTATTTACAGTATTTGTTTATAAATGTATGTTTATATTAAATTTATTATAAGTTTATAACATAACATGCAAACTATGTAGTATAGATGTTAGGTATTATAAAAATTAACAGTTTTTATTTTGAGACAGAGTTTCACTCTTGTTGCCCAGGCTTGAGTGCAATGGCACCATCTCAGATCACTGCAACCTCTGCCTCTTGGGTTCAAGTGATTCTCCTGCCTTAGCCTCCTGAGCAGCTGGGATTACAGGTGCCTGCAACCACACCTGGCTAATTTTTTTGTATTTTTAGTAGAGATGGGGTTTCCCCATGTTAGCCAGGCTGGTCTCGAACTACTGACCTCAGGTTATCCACCCATCTCGGCCTCCCAGAGTGCTGGGATTACAGGTGTGAGCCACTGCACCCGGCCCAAATTAACAGTTTTATAATATCTAAAAATGAATATTTTACATGTCTAAAAGTTGGGAAAATGGTTAAGCAAATCATACTGCATTCACTTTTTTTTTTTTTTTTTTGAGGCAGAGTCTCCCTCTGTCACCCAGGCTGGAGTGCAGTGGCAGGATCTTGGCTCACTGCAGCCTCCAGCTCCTGAGTTCAAGTGATCCTCCGACTTCAGTCTCCGGAGTAGCTGGGATTACAGGCGTGTGCCACCACACCCAGCTAATTTTTGTATTTTTAATAGAGGTAGGGTTTCACCATGGTCGTCAAGCTGGTTTTGAACTCCTGACCTCAAGTGATCTACCTGGCCTGTCCTCCCAAAGTGTTGGGATTACATGCGTGAGCCACCACGCCTGGTCTGCACTCACTTGGTTGAATATTTTATACTCATTTAATACATGATGGTTTTGTGACTACAACGCCACTGATACGATGGTAAGTATGGGGATATGTATATTCTGTGGTTGTAATGTTTTAAAAAACACGTAAGAAAAAAGACAAGAAAAAGTAATTCAACTACTAAGAGTGGGTATTGCTGACTTTTTCTCTTCCTTCTAAAACCATGGATCTATGTTTGAAGCTGCTGTGATAAATGGTTTCTAAGTGTGAGTGGGTGTGTTTGGAGAGGTATTTTTCAGTTGAAATTATTGCCTTTATGGACAATGGCTTGTTTTAGAGAGCATCTTAAAGCTCTTAACTACAGAGCTCTGCATTGAATCCTGCCTCTGTTATTACTTTGTGCAGAGATAATTCTTTGTATCAGCTGTTCAAGTTAAACATGAGAGAGGGCGGGGCGCGGTGGCTCATGCCTGTAATCCCAGCACTTTGGGAGGCCGAGGTGGGTGGATCATGAGGTCAGGAGATTGAGACCATCCTGGCTAACACGGTGAAACCCCATCTTTACTAAAAAATACAAAAAAGTAGCTGGGCATGGTGGCAGGTACCTGTAGTCCCAGCTACTCGGGAGGCTGAGGCAGGCGAATGGCATGAACCCAGGAGGCAGAGCTTGCAGTGAGCTGAAATCATGCCACTGTGCTCCAGCCTGGGCAACAGAGTGAGACTCCGTCTCAAAAAAAAAAAAAAAAAAAAACCGTGGGCGAGAGCCAGGCACGGTGGCTCACACCTATAATCCCAGCACTTTGGGAGGCTGAGGTGGGAGGATCACTTGAGCCTAGGAGTTCAAGGCCAGTCTGGGCAACATAGTGAGACCTCTTCTCTATAAAACATTTTTTAAGAATTAGCTGGGTGTGGTGGTGCGTGCCTATAGTCCTAGCTACTCGGGAGGCTGAGGCAGGAGATCACATGCCCAGGAGGTCAAGGCTGCAGTGAGACATGATCATGCCTCTTTTTAACTGTACTCCATCCTGGCGGGTAACAGAGCAAGACCCTGTCTCAAAGGAAAAAAAACAGGAGAAAGATGTTGTGAGAGATGGTGTATGGTAGGAGAGCCTCCATAGAGCTCCTTTGACCACATGACAGTGGAGTTATTATTCCTGTACGCTGTCATTACAGAGCGGTGGATCTGAAATGCATTACTTCTGGCAGTATGTTTTTTTCTTTGGAGTTGTTGGAATGCACTTGCGTCTGATTATGCTTTGTGTCCGCAGGCTCGTTTAGAAGTGCACCGGTTTGGTATCACGGGTTATGGAAAAGGAAAGGAGAGAATCCTGGAACAGGAACGTGCCATTATGCTGGGCGCTAAGGTGAGGGGCTGCTGCTACCTTTCATCACTAGACAACATGCAAAAAAAGCAAGAGCAAGGAAAGCTAAGAGCAAGTCAGGGCAAGGGACACTGGAACATTTTTGCAGAATAAAATATGATGGTTTGTTTCTTTGTTCTTTCATTACAGCCTCCTAAAAAGAGTTATGTGAATTACAAGGTTTTACAGGAGCAAATTAAAGAAAAAAAGGCAGCAAAGGAAGAAGAAAAGAGACTGGTAGGTGTGATGGTCTGTCCTTTATTCAACTAGAATGGGAAGATGGATGCTCTTTGCCACAGTGGAATGCCGGAAGCCGCTGCTTGGAGAGCAATGAAGGCACCAGAGTTAAAGGATCCCATGCTCCCCATTTCTTCGAGTTAGCTCTGTTTAGTAATACCAGCCAAGTAATCTGGCGTACTTACATGCAAGATTTGCTTTGAAATAGCAAACTCCTTGTCTTAGTCCGTTTTTGTTGCTGTAAAGGAATGCCTGATGCTGCGTAATTTATAAAGAAAGGAGGCTGATTTGGAGCATGGTTCTGCAGACTGCATGGAAAGCATAGCACTGGCATCTGCTCGGCCTCCGGTGAGCATCTGAAGCTGCTTCCGCTCATGAGGGAAGGCAGAGGGAAGCCCATGTGTACAGAGATCACATGGCAAGAGCGAGACATGAAAGAGCGAAGCAGCAGTGGGGAGAGGTGCCAGGCTCTTTTTAACAAACAGCTCTCATGGGAAGTGGGAAGTAACAGAGGGAGAACTCACTCATTACCATGAGGACAGCACCAAGCCATTCATGAGGGATCCATTGCCATGACCCAAACACCTCCCACTAGGTCCCGTCTCTAATGTTGGGATCAAATTTCAACCTGAGGTTTGGAGGGTCAGCTATCCAAACTATAGCAATCCTGTTCCAATAATGCAGGCTACTTTGATCTTTCTTCTATACTTAGGTTTTTTTTTTTTTTTTTTTTTTTTTTTGCATTTTACGTTGTATAACCTTGTATACAACACAAGGGCCTATGAAAAACCACAAGGGGAATAGATGTTACACTTTCTACCTTTCACCTAAAATGGAAGATTTGAGCTTTCAGTGTAAGACTATTAGTCTTACCTGGAATAGCCATTCACATTCTTTTGTCTTTTTCTTTCTAACTGAGACAGGATCTTGCTGTGTTGCCCAGGCTGGTCTTGAACTCCTGGGATCAAGTGATCCTCCCCCCTTGGCTTCCTGGAGTGCTAGGACTATAGGCATGAGCCACCACGCCAGGCCCAGCCTTTCACATTCTTGAAAGGGTTTTAGGGTAAAACTTTGAGACTGTTATGTTTAATATGCCCACTTGAAAGAAATGTTAAAAATGGTATCTCAATGACTTTTGGTCACAAACCTCTTGCCTTTTGTTTGAATCCCATTATCCACTACTAATATGTATATGATCTTAAATTCTGAAATCAGGCCCAAGAAACAGATATTTTCAAGAAAAAGAAGAGGAAAGGACAGGAGGACAGGTGAGTGATTTTATCAGGTCCTGGGGTTGAACAATCTGGATGAACCTACTGATGAGTTCTGACAAGGACGCCTTGAATGTATGTGGTGTTGCTAGCCCATTAGAGCGCTTCACTGTCTCTCATTTATCCTTGTCAAAGTAGGATTTAGTAAACTGCCCAAGATCAAACAACTGCCTGAGAACTGAATTAGGAAGTTTCTCCAATCTTCCACTTTTCACCGACACTCTAAGTGACTAGTGGAAAAGCTGCAGTTTACATTTCCAAGAAAAGACTTCTAAGAGTGCTGCTACAGCAGCGTAGTCTGGGTCTGTATAGCCTGCTCTTTGACATACCACGTAAGATAGAGCACCGTAATTATGAATAAGGGATGTTGACTTTGTTGCTTTATACTTGTTTGTTAGCTTTTGTTCAAATGCCTTTTTCTCTGTCTTTGAGTTACTGTTTCAGAATGGACTCTTTTTGTCTTAGCCTGTTTTCTTGGGCTCCTAGTGCACTTGTACATGCTGTAAAATGGTCATTTGTTCTGGCCACCGATCTGTATCTGTTGAATGCCTCTTTGTGCCAGGCATGTGGGTGTCTTAGGTATTGGTGTACAGCTGTAATCACACTAAAGATATCCCTGCCCTTGAGGAGCTTCATTGTAGGGAGAGAAACACCCCAAAACATACAAATGGATAAGTAAGATGATATCAGGTACTGGCAAGTATTGTAGAGAGGCTGAAAGAGAGCATTGTGAAGGAAAACCACAGGGAGAAGGTGAGCTGGGAAATTAGTCTGAGGAGGTGACATCGGAGCTGAGAACTGAACAAAGAAGAGGGGCAGCCTGGAAAGAGCTGGTAGCAGAACATTCCTTGCAGAAGAAACCAGTGCAAGGGCCCTGAGGCAGGAAGGCAGTAGCATGTTTCAGGGACCACAGGAAGGCGTATGGGGTGGGGGGTGTGCATGGCAGGCGACCAGGAGTTTGCAGGCCAGACTGCAGTGGCCTGGTTGGTGGTACTGTGATGCTTGTTGGTAAGCTTGACTATTTATAGTACCTTTCTCTTACTTTAAATGTAGGAAATCCAAAAAGAAGTCCGCTCCCAGTATTTTGTCAAATGGACGGATTGGACAGGTTGGAAAATTCAAAAATGGAACACTGATTCTGAGCCCAGTTGATATCAAGAAAATAAATTCTTCCAGAGTGGCCAAATGAAGTACTTTGTCAAATAAAACGAGGATGGGAACAACTGAGTCAACTGCAGCGGCCCTGGACCCTGTGCGACTCTAGATAGATCGTTCTTAACACGCATTTCACAGACTGCTTTTTCATTTTAGAAAAAAAGTCAAACAGAAGTAACATTTCTAGTTGCCGAAGTGTCTGCTTCATGGTGCTGAACGTGTCAGGCCCAGTGCAGCATGAATGTGAAGTGAACCCACTGAAAAGTGATTTTTAATGTTCTCCAGCAAACTTCACTCCTGTTTCATGTTCACTGGTATTTGGTGCATTTGCTTGTAATACAGTTTTTTATAACTTTACTGTTTTGTAAATGCTAGTAGTTTACATTAAATTGCCTTATATTTTTAATGATTTAATGTTATGATATCATGAAAGAACCAAGAATCTAGTAATTTATCAGTTTTGTGGAAAAGCAGTTTTAATTTTTAGCCTACCATGTGTACAAAATCTACTTCATAAGAAGTTATATAAATAAAATAGGTTTGTAGTATATGTGCCTGTGACTGTTAAGTAACAGATGGTTTTAACTCATACTTTTGTGCCCACATTCAAGTGAATGTTATTTCTATCAGAGTTGTCATCACCTTTGCAGCCATATACATGTTTTTAATGATATTGCCCTTGCTTAAAGTGACAGCAACTTCTCAAAGCTTGTAGCACATTTAAAAAGGTCTTCGATGATGGTGACAATTTGGGCTTTTAAAAATTTCTGTTTTTTCAATTTTTTTTTTTTTGTGAGACGGAGTCTCACTCTGTCACCCAGGATGGAGTGCAATGGCACGATCTCAGCTCACTGCAACCTCCACCTCCTGGGTTCAAGCAATTCTCCTGCCTCAGCCTCCCGAGTAGCTGGGACAACAGGCGCACGCTGCCACGCCCAGCCAATTTTTTGTATTTTAGTAGAGACAGGGTTTCACCATGTTGCCCAGGCTGGTCTTGAACTCCTGAGCTCAGGCAATCTGCCTGCCTCAGCCTCCCAAAGTGCTGGGATTACAGACATGAGCCACCACGCTCGGCCTGTTTTTTCAGTTTTTTAGAGACAAGGCCTTGATCTGTCACCCAGGCTGTAGTGCCCCAGCACGATCATAACTCAATGTGGCCTCGAACTCTTGGGCTCAAGTGATTCTCTTGCCTCAGCCTCCAGAGTAGTTGGGACTAAAGGCATGTGCCACCACGCCCAGCTAATTTAAAAGATGTTTTGTAGGCCGGGTGCGGTGGCTCACGCCTGTAATCCCAGCACTTTGGGAGGCCAAGGCGGGCGGATCACGAGGTCAGGAGATCGAGACCATCCTGGCTAACACGGTGAAACCCTGTCTCTACTAAAAATACAAAAAATTAGCCGGGTGTGGTGGCAGGCTGAGGCCTTTATTGGTTCTGCGCAGCTCCATATCTCCCTCCATCCAATCCTGCTTCCTTCCCTGGGCCTCCATGAATTTTGATCCCAAGAGCTCGCCCTAAGAAACATTTGCTGTCTAATCTCTGCATCTGCCTCCTACTCAGCTGAGCCCATTCGGTAATCCCATAGGTCACTGGTGTTAGGGGCTGTCGGGGGCCATGTGAGACAGCTGCTCTTGAGGATCATGAGGTGAGAAAGCAGCAAAGGACAGAGTTCAGGTCAGGCATGTCTGGCCTTGGTCTGTGTAGCTCAAGGGGCAGGTGAGTCTCCTTGATGCTCATGGGTTCATTGGGATGTTTTCCGCAGATCTCTACGTGGAACCCATGATCTACTCTGCACTCATGGATCGACCTTAACCACATGGTAACTGTTAGGTATCTCCAGCCCTATTCCCTCTTGTAAAAATGAATTTTATGACCTTCCTGCTGTTTGTGGTCGGGCCTTCCGTTTTATTTTTTATTTTATTTTATTTTATTTTATTTTTTATTTTTATATTTTTTGAGAGGGAGTTTAGCTCTTGTTGCCCAGGCTGGAGTGCAATGGCACGATTTCGGCTCACTGCAACCTCCGCCTCTTGGGTTCAAGCAATTCTCCTGCCTCAGCTCCCAAGTAGCTGGGATTACAGGCATGCGCCCCCACACCCGGCTAATTTTTGTATTGTTTTAGTAGAGACGGGGTTTCACCATGTTGGCCAGGCTGGTCTCGAACTCCTGACCTCAGGTGATCTACCCGCCTCAGCCTCCCAAAGTGCTGAGATTACAGGTGTGAGCCACCCTGCGTGGCTATTTTTTTAATTTTTAACACAGGGTCTTGCTCTGTCACGCAGGCTGGAATGCAGTGGCACAATCATGGCTCACTGCAGCCTTGACCTCCAGGGCGCCAGCGATCCTCCCTCCTCAGCCTCCTGAGTAGCTGGGACTACAGGTGCACCACCACGGCTGGCTAATTTTTGTATTTTTGGTAGAGACGGAGTTTCACCATGTTGCCCAGGCTGGTCTCAAACTCCTGGCCTCAAGTGATCTGCCTGCCTTGGCCTCCCAAAGTTCTGGGATTACAGGTGTGAGCCACAGCACCCAGCCTAGTTTAGAGTCATATGTAATCACCCTGAGATTTCCTGGGCACGCGAAGCAGAACCACATTGACCCTGCTACTTAGTAACGCCCAGCCCCACTGGGGGAAGAGACCGTGTGGCCTCCCCTCCTGTAGCCTCTGCCCTGTCTGCTGGGCAGTCAGGGCCAGTTGGGAAAAAGGCAGACCTGACCACGGAGCAGGAATTACAGACCACATCTTGTCTTTCTGTTGTTGGCAGTGTCAAAAGAATTTATTTCAAATCTGCTTAAGACTGTGGTAAAACTCAGGTTTTCCAAAAGGTAATACAGAAAGTTCAACTAACCCCCAAAGACCAGAAAACACAGTGTTTGCAATTCAAAAAATACAAACGCTTGTGGATACCAATACAAAAATTAGAAAAAAGTTGCTTTCCTTACCACTCCCCGCTACCCCCCGTGTTTTCAGTGGAACATCCACAGCAATAGGACCAAGAGCTGCCACCAAATACCAACAACGAGTGACCGAAAGTGGATGTGATGGGGGAAGGGGAGGGAGGAGAAATGGGGATAAAGAAAGGCAAGAAAATTGGACTTCTGTCGACGGTCAAAACAAGGACGCGAAGCTTTTTGTTTCTTGTTAAATCCCTTTGCCAACGTTAAACAAACACCTCTCATGCTTAATACAACAGCTTAGTGCCAACGCAGCAATCCTACATCATGCATTGAATGTTTTCTGCTTTGCCCGCTCCCCACTTCTTCTGGGTGCCGAGAAAGCCTGGGGCTCTGGGTGTCTGGTTTCCAGGGCTAGGAGGAGTTGGAGAGGCTTCCCCGGCTGGGTCTCACCCAGTAAGCACCTGACATGTTCCTGCTACTGCAGTTGCAAGCAGTCACCTTCCCGAACCTGAAGCCTGGTTTTGGCCTCTCCTCAGAGCTTTACCCGAGGGCCTGGCCTGGTCTGCAGTGCCCGCATCACCGGCCCACAGGTCCCTAGGCCTTTCCCAGGACTGTGCTCCTTGAGAGAAGAGCGATGGATCCGGACGAGACTTCCCTGGAGGTCTCAACTCCCAGCTCCTGACTGATGTCAACGTCAATCATTGAAAAAGCCAGGGCCTCCCCCAACCTGCATAGCTCGTGCTGGTGAAGCCCCAGCAGTCCCAGCGGTTATCAGTCATCTGAAAGTGACATGATGACCCACTAGCCCAACCAGCCTTCAAAACTTCGGCTCAGTTGCATCTCTTCGTGCTATCCACACTGGATTTCAAACCCATTCACACTGCAGAGACCCCTCGAAACAAAGGAGGCAAGCTGTGAGATGAGAGACCCCTTAGATACCAGAACTTAGGTAACAAAGAAGGCAGAGGCCTGGGTTAGTGTCCTTCCTTGGTTTAAAGGGGCTTCTGCTCACAGAGGCCTTGAGGCCTCGCAGTGAGACTGCTGACAGGTAGCCTGTTCATAGCACTCACACAGAGCGCCATTCAAACAGGCCTCGCCGGGAATGGAAACATATGGGGTGTTACTTTCTATGGTCATAGGAAACCTGTCTTAAAGGTCTATTTTACCCACTGGAGGCCAGGCAGCTCCTTGCCCTGGTCACAAGGAGGCTTGGATGGAAGACACTGGTCAGAGAACACTGGAACGCCCCCCACAGGTTTGAGTCACTGAATGGGAATCATTAGCTTAGATGCCAGAGATGAAAGACTGCACTTTTTTTCTTTAAAAATGTTATTGTATAATCCTCACAATACATCAGAGGAGGTAGGTTAGTATGACTAGTCTCATTTCAGGTGGGGATACTGAGGCACAGAAAGGATAAGAGATTGGCCCCCACTCATACCATGAATCACTATTAAAGCCAGGTTAAAAGAGGGAAGTAACCGAGGGCTGAACTTGGTGTCTGATCAATACATCCTGCCCGAAACCTGCCCTCATATTTTTACAGCCTAGATATTAGGTTAAAGCTGCAGGATCCTTTGATCTTCTGGGAGGAACTGCCAAAGAATGTGGTCAACAAACACAGCTACCGGCTCACTTGCAAAAGAAAAGTCCTGAAATTTTCCAGCATCACCATCTTGAATATTTGCCAATAAGATCTGTTAGATTTTTTTAAAAACCAATTGAGGGCCACAAACCCATTAAGAAGTTCCTGTTGCTTCCAGTAAAATGTGGCCAAGGAAAACAAAGGTAACGAGTTTTGCTTTCTAGGAAGTGGGGAGCGGGCAGGGGGCATCTTCAGTGAGTGAAAATTCAAGACCCAACAGGTTGGCATCTGTTGGAGGTGGCTCACCCCATTTTCCCCTACCTGCCCCCTGAAGACACATGGAAAATCCTGGGCTTGGGTATCAAGATAAAGGCTGGCAGCTTTGTCACATACAGGCTTTCTATGGAACAAAGCAGCCGGAGCGCCACAGTCCCTCTACAGATCCATGCATGACAAACCACTGGCATAACCTGGTGGTTCTCAACTTGTGGAGGCCCCCAGGAGATACCTAGCAATGTCGACAGATACTTTTGGTTGTCACACCTAACTTGGGGGTTGCTACTGGCAGATGATGGGTAGAGACCAGGGATGTTGCTAAACATCCTACGGCATACAGAACCTATCGCAAAATGTCAGTAGAGGTTGAGAAACCCTGGCGCCACCCCACGGGCTGTGCAGCAGTGTTCTTTAGCATTCACATGTTGACTCCCCCTAAGGATTGACCCTCCCTCACTACCTCAAAGCCAGCAGGTGGCCATGGGACCAGCAGCAGCCTCCTTGACACTGAACCACCTGCCCACCGGTGCCGAAACCCGCCTTCCCAGGGGGACCAAGCCTTTCGCTTGCAATGAGAATTAAGGCTTAAATGCAAATATCCCTGGAAGAAATACACAAAGATCCTGCATTCTGATCCTTTCCTGAGAGTGCTGTGGTGGGGCGGAGGGCAGGGGCACCAAGAGGGAGAGAAAGGGCGCAAAGAGGAGGGTGGGCCTGCCCCCAGCTCTCTTGGTGAGCTCCACAGAGCCTGCCCAGGCTCAATCCGGAAAGCACCACCCTCCTCAAACTTGGTGGGCCATAGGGCACCTAGGGCGCTGTTGCAACTACAAAGTACATATCAGGCTGAAGATGCAGCCTGGAAATATATACAGTTTTATAGTGTTTAGGTCAGTTACCTTGTGGGTCAGTATTACTGGTGTCCTCTTTAATTGGAATCATTATTTTCCCAAGGAGAACAGAGAGAGGAAAAGCAGGCTTTGGGGAAATACCTTCCCCTGCTTTGAATTAGGAGCTGGGATGCTATGTATGCAGTGAGGTGCTAGTGGATATTTTCGGAAGAGATTAATTTTAAAAGGAAAAGGCATACACTTTGACCAAGCTTGCTCACTAGCAAAGAACAACTGCAGAACCACATTACAGAGGCACTATTTACAATGCAATGGAACTCGACATTTTTAAACTACTTTGAATTCCTTTTTCACTGAAACTGCTTGATAGATTTACACCAAGTTACTCCTCAGCCAGCCCAACAAAAGCCTCATCTTGATATCATTTATATGTATGTACAAATGTGCCACCATGATGTAACGTGTTATGGAATTCGATGGTGGATGAGAATTCCATGACCTGTCTGTCATTTCTACTCTGAAACCCGGGACCTTCCTGGCCATGAGGAATTGATAAGTTCCTTCTTCACTTTTCTGATCCCTCAAAAACACAAGTGTGTGGCACGGACCTGTCGTTCTCTTTGAAGTCAGAACATTGAAGGTGTTTTGTGCTGAAGACAGGAGAGGTGTCTGTGAAGGAGAGCTGGATGCTGTCCCTGGCATCGGCCGTATTGCTTCTGGGCTCCTGGAGGAGTCAGAAAAGGGAGAATCCCAGCCCCCAAGCTCAGGGTGGCAGTGGGGAGGAGGGAGTCCTGGCTGCACCTCTCTGGACTTCAGGGAACTTTTTTCTGAAAGAGGCCACCGGATTTGAGGGCATTACCCTCCTGCACTTTCCACTTCTCTCCTGACCTGGATGCTGCTCCCTCAAAGGGGTTAGGTTCAGGGTAGCCCCAGGCAACTTGTGCTCCAATGATGGGCGATTCTTCTGCAGAGCTGGGGCCACCTGGTGACCTGGGCTGTGGTGATGGTGGAGGCTCCACAGCCTTCCCCAGGGCTCCCCTGTGAGAAGCTGCTGTCACCAGGCAGCCCTGCCTAGCCCACTCTCATTCTGGGGGCAGGGTGTAGGCCTGTTTTTTTTTCAGAAGAGAGCTAGACACTTCCCAAAGCTGATGGCTTCCTTGGCCCCAGGAAAGTGGTGGCTCCTCTTCATCCTCAATCTTTAGGGATCGTCTCCATGCTCCAAGCAAAGGCCACCCAGAGCTATGGCTAAGGATGAAGCTGCAGGGATATGGGAGACAGAGGCAGAGGTGCGGGCAAGGACACAGGGTCCCAGGTCTTGTGTGTCACCACCAAGAGCTCTGGACAGGGCTCTGGGATGGGAGGAGGAGACCCAGAAACCGCTTGGTGAGATGACAAGGAAGAGGCAAGACCTAGACTTCCATGAAGCAGATAGCTCCCAGGCTCCGCAGCAGAGACTGCAACACAGCACCGAGCAGCTCCTGGAGACGGGGCAGCTGGCCTTGCCGGCCACATCTGCAGAGACAGCGGACCAAGCAGCCTTGCAGACCAAGAGCATGAGCTTTGAGGTAGGATTGTCGGGCCTGCTGAGTGGAGGGGGGGTACCTGCATGGCTCCGGCAGGCAGTTACTCAGAAAGCAGGCGCGGTGTCTGAACAGGAAGGCAGAACCAAGGACGCACAGTTGGTGCTGGTGAATGGGCGAATTTTATAAAAATCCAGTCCAGCAAATTGACAAGTCACTTCTCAGCCTCAGAAATAAAATGCTTGACAAAATATATTCTTTTTAAAAGGAGAGAGAAATGTTACTACCAGGTGGAGCTGGAGGTGGCAGGTGACTGGGAAGATGAGAGGAGGGAGGAGAGGAAGGGTTCCCTGGGAACAAGAGCCTGGCAGGCTCAAAACCCCTGCCATGAGCTGTCTCTGAGAGGTGTGGATGAATCAATGTGGATCTCAAGGGAGAAGCCTGGTGTTTCCAGAGTCCTGCCCTGGCAGGTCAGACTCGGCACACCCAGTCTCACAGTGGGAAGCTGGGAGACAAGGTACCTGATACTGCCCTTCTATTTCCTGCCTTCCCCAGAGATCCCGCCCACTGCATCAGGGCAGAGCCGTCCCGGCCTGCCACAGGGGCCACTTGTGTTCATGATGCTTTCATAATGACAATAGGGTGGACTGACTAGAACAGGCTTTCCCAGGGTCTCCCATTTTAAATGCTTATGAGTCTGAGAGTGGTTCAGCTCAGAAGAGCAATCTGGATGCATTTTCAGTTAACTTCTTGGGCTGCCAGTTTCAGAAAGGAGCCATCACCAGGCGAAGACCTATGACATAGTTGTTAAAATTCTTGTGTTTTCACGTGGATTTAAGAACTAAGAACTGAGTGAATTAATTTTAGGAGACTGTCATGCCTGTGTGTGTGTGAGAGAGAGAGAGAAGGAGGGAGGGAAAGAGAGCGAAAGAGGGAAGAAAGAGGCAGGGATGGAGGAAAGTAAGAGAGAAGGAGGAAAGGAAGAAAGAGAGAGCAAAGGAGGGAAGGAAGGAGAGAGAGAAGAAGAGAGAAAGAGAAGGAGGGAGGGAGAAGAAATGAAGGATGGAGGAAGAGAGAGAGAGAACACAATTGGCTGATTAATAAAGGAAGCCATTTTAAAAGGTTCTAACACTTCAGTGAGAGAGGCAAAAGTCAAGCATGAATGATTAATGTCCCTTTCTATCAATCCTGCATTGGGTCTGCAAGTGGCAGGTGCTACTAAAGACTCTAGGACCAAGAAGCTAAAAGATAACTTTCTCAGCATGATGAGAATCTGCAATCTCGGGACTCTGAGGAGGCAAGGTCCCCACGGAGGGCCAACACCCGGGGCGTGGGATTACAGCGCAGCTCCTGACTGCCGCTCTCAGGAGGCCAGTCTCAAAGTCTACCTTCCTCTCCCTCCAAAAAAAGACAAGCTTTGAAAACAGATGGCAGGAAACATAGACATGAAGCCCGAATGCTGACTCCCTTGAGAAAGGTCCTTCTTGGGGAGTGTTCGTAATGTCTGGGTGGAATAAGGGTGACACACGTACCTTCCTTTGCCACTGACAGTGGCAGCTGTGAGCATGGCCCGTGGACCCATTCCCTGCGTCCCCAAGAAAATGTGTTTCTATGACACTCCACGCTGCCAGGTTGCACCCATGATTTGCATATCCTGCTTTTGTGGGTTATTTGAGCTTAGTGAGAATGGTGGGCGTTTTGCCTGTGAATGTCACTGTCACAGGCACAGTGCCGAGCTGGAGCGGGGCTAATTGCCTGACAGCTTTGGCCGCCCCAGGTTAGTCGGCACTTCCAATCCTGTGTGCAGGGTGACCTGGAAAAGAAGACAGGGCAAGTGAGGGTGGGAGAGGCTGCCGCAGGGACCCTGAGGGCTCTGACAGCACCGCAGACACCGGCAGGATCCCCTGCTGGCTCCAGGGCCATCCATGCAATAGCTCAGGGCTGCTGTGGACTGTTGAATATTACGTCCCCCAGTATTCCTAATTAAAGGCTATGTTGGTTTGCACCTCTTTCCTCATAATAAGAATCACCCAGCTGACTGGTTCCTCATTTTGCCAGAGCTGCCACAGCTGGGCAAAGTAGACGCCATCACAGGAGCACGGCTCTCACGCACTGGCTCCCGTGGTTACATATTTGTGTCTACTTTCTAGCCATGACCTTCTTTCCTTTCCTATTAAACCCATTCTATTAACTGTGAGGAATTATAGCCAACCTCTTATTTTTTGGATTAAAAAAAGCTTATCTGTTCATTGGTAGAGATGGTGTCTTGTTCATTCCCCAGGCTGGTCTCAAACTTCTGGGCTCAAGCGATTCTCCTGCCATGGCCTCCCAAAGTACTGGAGTTACAGGCGTGAGCCACCATGTCAGGCCAAGCCTAAGCCTATCTTTTTTTTTTTTTTTTTTTTTTTTGAGATGAAGTCTCGCTCTATCACCCAGGCTGGAGTGCAGTGGTGCGATCTCGGCTCACTGGAAGCTCCGCCTCCCGGGTTCATGCCATTCTCCTACCTCAGCCTCCTGAGTAGCTGGGACTACAGGCACCCGCTACCATGCCCAGCTATTTTTTTTTTGTATTTTTAGTAGAGACAGGGTTTCACCGTGTTAGCCAGGATGGTCTCGATCTCCTGACCTCGTGATCCGCCTGCCTTGGCCTCCCAAAGTGCTGGGATTACAGGCGTAAGCCACCGCGCCCGGCCATAAGCCTATCTTTTAGGTTGCCACAAATCCCTTTTGCAAATGAGTAGAGGATCGAATCGATCAATCAGTGATTGATGTAGACTCCTCAATATTCAGGGCCACAAAACAGGACCTTGCTCCCCACACTCCAACTCCCCATCCCAAGGGGAGGAGGACTCTACTAAGACGAAGGATGGCACCTCCGTGTTTCTCCCTTCCTCACACCCTCCTGGGCTCTCATTCTTGTCTCTCTCTGTTTCAGGCCTCCTGAGCTACCAGCACTCCCCAGGGACTGAGCTCAGTCCTGAGGTCTGCGTCTCCAGAAGCTGCCACCTTAGGGCCCCTGGGTGTCCCAAGTGAACAGGTTAGAACGGAACGCCTCCAGGAAATGTCCAAGGCAGGCCAGTTGATAAGCTCTGTCTGGGAAGGCTCTGTGGTCAGCTTCTTTATGGCCCACTCTGCCCAAGGGCACTGCAGAGACCTGTGGCAAACAGTTGGGAGCAGCCAGACCAGGTCCGGCCCTGGGGAGGTGTGTACCTGCACGTTGCGGTTGAGGCTGAGGGCTGGCATGAAGACCCCGTCCACGTGGCTGAAGGCTGTGGGGCCCTGCTGCTGCCCGTTGATGAAGAAGGTGAGAGTGTGCTTATTCAGGTCCAGCAGCACGCCCACGGTGGCCCCCTTGCACACGCCACCTTCCGTCCTGGGAAGAGAGTCCCCAGGAAGACCATCACCACACCCAGCCTGGGATGTAGGTGATAACTCAGGAGAATTATTTACTTATTTAGAGACACGGTCTCACTCTGTCACCCAGGCTGGAGTGCAGTGACGCCATCTCGGTGCACAACAGCCTCGCCCTCCCAGGCTCAGGAGATCCTCCCACCTCAGCCTCCCGAGTAGCTGGGACTACAGGCGCATGACATGAGACCCAGCTAATTTTGTTTGTGTTTTTTGTAGAGATAGGAGTCTCACTATGTTACCCAGGCTGGTCTTGAACTCCTAGGCTCAAGCGATCTTCCCATTTTGGACTTCCAAAGTGCTGGGATTAAAGGCATGAGCCACTGTACCCGGCCAAGAAAATTATATATAGGATGCTGGGAACAACCTCACTTAAACATAGTCCCCAAGGTGGTGGTGAGGTGCTCTCCTGGGCACATGAGCCTTCTCTCACAGTGGACACACCTTGTTAACAGGCCATGATGAAGACTCCCCTAGAGGAACACCTCCAGGCTGTTCAACCCCCTCTTTCTGACAGCATCTGGGATCTGCGCACTAGAAAATTCGGGTTTTGATGAGAAGGTCCCATTTGAAACTGTGGAGCATGGAGAATGGGTAAGAAAGGCACCTTTTCCTGCCAAAGAAAATAACTGACTTGGCGCCCTTTTCTGTTTTAGGCAAGTGAGGATGCTGAGGTCGATGAAGATGTGGACATCCAGGCCTTCAGGAAATTTTGAAAGGCCCCTACTCAACATTGGCTCATCTTCCCAGAAACATCCTAGGGTCCCTCAAAAAGCAGCGTATGGCAGGCAGAAGGGTGCTGAAGTTGAAATCAAGTCCTCTGTCGCAGTCATTATCCCTCAGGTGACCAATAGCGGAACGTTGAGAATGTCCATTGTGCTCTTGATCAGTGTTGGCAACGTCGTACTTTGTAGGTGGTAAGAATTCACATCCACTCGGTGGAAGTGAATCTATAATAAAAGTAAGGAACATGCTCCCAAGGGGGGGCTTGGCTGACCACATCTTC
The DNA here is from genome assembly GCF_000001405.40 of Homo sapiens. Taxonomy (NCBI): domain Eukaryota; kingdom Metazoa; phylum Chordata; class Mammalia; order Primates; family Hominidae; genus Homo; species Homo sapiens. The sequence goes on along the minus strand of NC_000001.11, from coordinate 231,212,773 downwards.
TCCCATGGGCCGAATCCTGCAGACTCTCCTTCCCTTCCTTGAGGTGGTTTTTTGTTTTAGAGTGGCTGTTTCTCCCTGTGGCCCAGGCAGTGGTGCAATCATGGCTCACCGTTGCCTGGAACCCCTGGGCTCAACGGATCCTCCCACCTCAGCCTCCCGAATAGCTGGGACTGAAACGCCTAACCTTTTTACTCTAACTTGTTACTTTGAATTTTGTCCTGCTTGTCTCTTTAATCACCTAGCCTTGCTTCTCATGTAAATAAGACTCTCTCTAGCTGGGAAGGCTGGACAAACTCCAATTGACCTTTTAATTTACAAGACACTAAAGGCTCCTCACCTAACCCCCTTCCGTAAGGAGTTGGCCTGGGTAAACAGATCCTCAGCATTTCAAAAGAGCCCAATTAACTGATAAGGTACTAACACCAACAATGTATGAAGTTCTTAGGATTTTTCTCTAAGAGATAACAACATAAAACCTTGAGTTCGTGTCCGGCATAGACCTTATATCTAATTATAATGAAAGATTTAGAACCTTGCACCTGGTACCGTTGCTCTTCTTGTAACTATTTGTCTTTCAAGTTGTTTATCTCTCTGTAACTATTTTGCTTCTTTTGATTCTTGCATGTTTTTACTTCTGTAGAATTATTACATTTGAGTCCCCCTCCCCTTCCTAAACCTAAGTATAAAAGTTAATCGAGCTCGTTACTCGTGGCCGAGAGAATTTTGAGCATTAGCTGTCTCTTTGGCCACCGGCTTAATAAAGGACTCTTAATTCGTCTCAAAGTGTAGCGTTTCCTTAACTCGCCTAGGTACAACAGGACTACAGGCACACACCATGCCCGGCTAATTTTTAAATTATTTTATAGAGACGAGGGCCTCACTATGTTGCCCATGCTGGTCTTGGACTCCTGGGCTCAAGGGATCCTCCTGCCTCAGCCTCCTGAGTAGCTGAGACCACAGGCTTGAGCCACCGCGCCCGCTCAGGGCTGAGGTCTTAGCCTTAACCTTAGCAGCGCCACTCTGCTAAGAAAACCATGTTTGTCCTTCCAGATTGATAATGAGTTGATCTGCTGGACGCTGCTGGTAGGGCAGAGGGAAGGTGAGCAGCGAGGATTCACGACAGGAAGTCCCGAGGAGGACTTGGTGGGCGGCCCAGACAGGTGTTTCCGGAGAAGGCAGGGTTTCCCCCGAGGGTGCCCGGGGCGGGATCCGGCAGGTGGGAGAAGGAAACTAAAACCGCACTGTTGATGCTATTTGGACACCGACCACCGGGTGGCGGTAGTGACCCATGGGAGGTGCAGGAATGAGTCCAACCTAAGCAAAGCCTCAGGCCCCCAGTCAGCTCTGGGGTCCAACTTCCCGGCTGCCTCGGCTTCCTCCCAGATAGCGCTTACCCTACCCGATCCACATCCGAGGGTGGGAGGACATGCAGACAGGGGCAGGTTCTCTCTACCTTCTCATGGCCTCACTTCCCTTCTGCTTTTCTTACTGAGGTGGCACCAAGGGGCTGTCAAAGACAGCAAAGGCCCAAGAAGTGCTCCGCAGCCCTTGGGAGGGGTGTGGTGGCCAATGGCCAGGAGAGCTGGGGAGTCTGCACCACACAAACCAAGGCTGGGGTCCTGGGCTCAACCCTGACAGTATCAACTAGCCGCGTGACCCGAGCCGTTGTCTGACCTTCCTAAGCCCAGGCTTTTTAATATATATATTAAACAAACAAACAAAATATATATATATATATATATTTTTTTTTTTTGGTAGAGAGGAGGGTCTCACTATATTGCCCAGGCTGGTCTTGAACTCCTGGGCACAAGCGATCCTCCTGCCTCGGCCTCCCAAGTAGCTGAAACTACAGGTACACAGCACCATGCCTGGCTAATTTTTAAAATTACTATTATTTACAGAGACAGGGTCTCACTAAGTTGCCCAGGCTGGTCTCAAACACCTGGGCTCAAGCAATCCTTCTGCCTCGGCCTCCTTAAGTGCTGGGATTGCAGGTGCAAGCCACCATTCCAGCCTAAGCCCCAGTTTTATAATCTGTAAAATGGCAACAATAATAGTACCTTTGCAAGGATTAAATGAGCTCAGATACATCGAGTGCTTCCTACAGCATTGAGCACAAGTAAGGGTTTGATAAATGCTTCTTGTTATCACTCCTGCCAGCAAACAGGGTATCTGGGTGCCAGTTTGGTTTAAGCAAGCAGAGACGGAGCTGATGGGCCTGGACTTGGCCCCTCTGTGGGTGGGAGGGAGAGTGGCCAGCCTGCAGTGTCCGGGCAGAGGCACAGAGCTGCCCGCCTCTTCCCCAGGACTCAGGAGAGAAGGGGCCCTGCCTACAAGCAAAGAGGCAAGCAGATGGGGTCCTGAGGGCCCTCAGGCAAGTCCCTGGCCCAGATTAGACGTGGCTTCCCTGAGAAAGAAGAAGCTGGTCCTTCCTCTGCGGGAAGGTGCCCCAGGGGCTGTTATAGGAGCTGCAGGTGGGCCCAGAGCACTGAGAGCCTCCGGGTCAATTTTGCCTGGGGCTGGGGCCCAGCGAAGTCAAGGTCAGCTCTTGAAGTTCCTCACCCCTTCCTGCTGGGGAGATGGCCCTTAGCAGACCAGGAGCAAGGCTCCATAGCAAGGAGGTGGCTTCAGGTGGCTGCAACTTGCAACTCTCCATTTCTGGCCTTGGGGATTCTTCACCCCCACGTCCATCCCCACATGCTGGCCAGGTGTGAGCACAAAATCCCTGGGAGAGGAGAAAGAGTACAGAGCTATGGTGCAGGGGTGTTGGGGGGGCACTGCCTTCTTTGTGTCTGAGGAGAGAGACCAAGGCACCCTAGAGAAGCCCAGGCCTCAGGGGCAGCCCTGGAGGACCCATCCCCATCTGCCCTCCTAACAGAGGTCCCAGTAGTTTCACAGGCCAGGACCTGAGTCTCCTGTGTCCATGCTGGTGACCCTACTCCCAGGGCCAGTCTCAGGGCAAAGCCACAGCTGTGGGCACCCTTGGCAGGCTCGTTAGTAGTGAGCACCCCAGCCATGCCCTCTGCTACTGCCCTGTCAAGGGCCCGGCCCTGCCGAGGCTCAAGCCCACATGAGACCAGGGCAGTGGCCAGGATCACTGCAGGCAAGTTAGTGGCAATGACCTGGTCACAGCTGTGAGGACACCAGCCCCAGTGGTGCCCATTAACACCCTGCAGCAACCCAAGCTTGGGTTGACAGTTGAAAAGGAAAGTGAAGCCGTACCAGAAAGAAAACTACGAGCTCCATATCCCAGCAGAGGACCACCGTGTGGCCCGCTGGGTAACTTGGGAGACCCATCTGTGCGGGTGCTGTGAGAGTCACCATAACATACCCTCATCTGGGCTGCAGGCCAGTTCTATATGGGCAGAGTGAAGGCCTCCTAGAAAATGGAGACCAAAGTGGCTGAAAATACCTCCTCTCAATTCCTCCTGGCTTTGGGGACAGCAGAAGGGACACTGGTCTTCAGGACCCTCATTCCCAAACAACCTGTGTCCACGGGAGGCAGGATGGGGCCCAATCGCACCTGTTGGTGTGGGAGTTGCAGTGCATGAACCAGCTGCGGTTGTTGTCCACATACATGGCCCAGGCCTTGTCATCCTTGCCCAGCATCATGTCCTTGACCACGCTGGCCCTGGCCACCCCGAAGGCGGGGTCTGGGTGGTTGTCGTACCGGTCCACGTGCAGCTCCCAGTAGTGCACGCCCTTGGAGAACGCAGCTGTGCCCAGCACCACCCGGTCGTCATAGCTGCTGCAGGTGGCTGTCTGGTTGTCATTGGATAAAATGATGTCCCGATGCCCAGAGTTGGGGTCAAATGTGAACCAGGCCACTAAAAAGGGAGGAGGTGAGAGGAGCAGGGTCAGGGGATGGAATTTGCTAGTAGTTTCTAACCGGCTCAGAGACACAAACACATTCGCTTCTGTTAGAAAGTCGGCACCCAGAAGTGAAGGGTCTTTCCTGTATGATTACCACACACGTGCACACACACACAAACGTACACACATGCACACACTCCCTGCTCTGTGTTCATCCAAGTTGCCAGCCCTACGAGCCTGGCCTTGCCAAGGATTTTCAGGCCTCAAAACCTCAAATCTAGATGCATTTTCTGGTCTTGGTTTCTAAAACCCTTCCAAATGCTCACAGTTAGAAATACAGGAGGAAATAGCCTGGGAGCAGTGGTCCACGCCTGTAATCCCAGCACTTTGGGAAGCCGAGGTGGGTGGATCACCTCAGGTCAGCGGTTTGAGACCAGCCTGGCCAGCATGGTTAAACTCCGTCTCTACTAAAAATACAAAAATTCGTGGCCGGGCATGGTGGTTCACACCTGTAATCCCAGCACTTTGGGAGGCCGAGGCGGGAGGATCACGAGGTCAGGAGATCAAGACCATCCTGGCTAACACAGTGAAACCCTGTCTCTACTAAAAATACAAAAAAATTAGCCGGGCGTGGTGGCAGGTGCCTGTAGTCCCAGCCACTCGGGAGGCTGAGGCAGGAGAAAGGTGTGAACCTGGGAGACAGAGCTTGCAGTGAGCCATGATCACGCCACTACACTCCAGCTTGGGCGACAGATCAAGACTCTGTCTCAAAAAAAAAAAAAAAATTCGCTGGACATGGTGGTGGGCGCCTATAGTCCCAGCTGCTTGGGAGGCTGAGGCAGGACAATCACTTGAACAGGTTGGCAGAGGTTGCAGTGAGCCAAGATTGTGCCATTGCACTCCAGCCTGGGCAACAGAGTGGGACTTCATCTCAAAAAAAAAAAAAAAAAAGTACAGGAGGAAATCGATATTGATGAGCCACCTCATGGGTGGGAGATTTGAGACACAGAGAGGTGAAGTGATGTGGCCAAAATCACAAAGCTCAATTCTCCATTTTGCAGCCCATCAGGTGGTGCCCCCTTTTGCTCCCCAACCCCCCAGGTTGATAGAAGTGAGTCCCTTACTCTAAAGTCATGACCACAATGCACAGGGCAAGGACCGCTCATCTCTGGGCAGGCAGGAGAGTCTAGAGGCAGAAGCTAGCGAGCTCTCCTCTAGGGGTGTACAAAGTGACTCTGCAGGTGGCATCATTTTCAGAAAAGTGTCCCTGGCTGGGCCTTTTGACACCAGCATCTGCTCATGCTCCTACTCCTCCCTGCCTCTAGGAGACCATCCAGCTGTGGCAGTCAGAGGATGTGTGGACTAAATGATAACAATGAATGCACGATTTGCCCTCTTCTTGGAGGCAGTGGGGAGCTGGAAACTGCCTCTGCAGCCTGGGCTGGGCCACACCTGGGGGAGCAGAACTCTCTTTGGAATGTGATTCCTATTTCTCTCATTGCTCTCTGCTAAGAACTCAGATGATCAAAATTCCACTGAATTAATATCAACATGCTGTTGTTGCCCAAGACCTAAAAGGCTGCAGGTAGGTGTATAAATCACTGGATGTGAGCTCTGATGCTGGGGATTAAAGGGCACTTTTCCGCTGTGAGAAAGGCTCAAATGTAGGGACTGGTGTGGGCCCACTGCATCTATCGTGGAGTTTTCTTGTCTGGGACTGTCCTACTCACTCCTCAGCCCTTGAGAAGTGGGAGAAGTTTAGCCTCCCTTAGCTACTTCACATTTAGTCCAGCACAATGGGGTAAATGAATGTTTCTTTCGTGGCTTGTAGGCCATGTGGGTGCAGCAAAGAGCTGTGTGTGCAGAGCAGGGTGAGGCGTATGCACCTCAACCGGCCCCTCCGGCCCTGCACTTCCTCCCTCCCCCATCTTCAGCAGCTCATCCTTTCCCCTGGTCCACGGGATGAAATGTGGGTTGGCCCTAGGAGTCAATCTTTGTCCTTTGGGAGCCCGCCTGTGGTCCCAGAAGGGCACGCCCTTGGAGAACCCAGCCGTGCCCAGCACCACCCCCCACCCCTACCCCATCATCATAGCTGCCACAAGTGGCTGTCTGGTTGTCACTGGATAAAATGATGAATCTGTTCTTCCCACTAAGAGATCCCGATGCTCACCATCGGATGTCTGCAGGACGACAGTTTTACTGTAAGGCCCGACACCAGAAGAGTTGAAAGCTTTGACTCGGGCGTTGTAGGTGCTGTTGAAGTGAAGACCGTCGATGGTACACAAAGTCTCCTTACCGACGTACACTTCCTGAAAGAGAGCAATGCTGCTCACCAGGCTCCTCTAGCATTTGGAAAGCTCCTCTTAGCAAATGGCTTCTGGAAACACATTGACATTAAAAGTGCTGTTGCCAGGTGTAGTCCCAGCTACTCAGGAAGCTGAGGTGGGAGCATCGCTTGAGTCCAGCCTGGACAACATTGCAGGGCCCCATTTCTAAACAATTTTTGTTTTTATTTTTTTGAGGGACAGAGTCTTGCTCTGTTGCCAGGCTGGAGTGGAGTGGCGTGATCTCGGCTTACCAAAACCTCCGCCTCCCGAGTTCAAGTGATTCTCCTGCGTCAGCCTCCCAAGTAGCTGGAACTACAAGCATGCACCACCATGCCCAGCTAATTTATATATATATATATATATTTTAGTAGAGATGGGGTTTCCCTATTTGTTGGCCAGACTGGTCTCGAACTCTTGACCTCAGGTGATCCTCCTGCCTTGGCCTCCCAAAGTGCTGGGATTACAGGTGTGAGCAACCATGCCCAGCCAAAAAATTAAAAAAAAAATTCTTACCAAATAGAAGTTATTAAAAAGGGAAATTACATTCAGTCATGGCTGGCTCACAGAACTTGACCAACTTGGGCATGAATGCCTTACTACTGGCTGCCCGGCCCCTCTGCCTGCGAGGCGGCGAGGCGTGATGGGGTCCTGGTGAGGCAAGCTTCCTGGGTCTGCAGCCAGCCAGGATACTGACCAGGAACATCCTGACTCTGCCAAGGTCTACCTGGTCAACAAGACTATTGAGCCACGGGCACATCCACTTCTTTGTCTCCTCCCACACCTGAGGCTGGCATCTTCCACTCCTTAGCCCTCCTGGAGCTGCTGTTTTCTGGTCTTTCCAAAGGGTGAGACATTTCTGCATCTGGCCTCAAAGATACTTTTCTTTCTTTCCTTTTTTTTTTTTTTTTGAGACAGAGTCTTACTCTGTCACCCAGGCTGGAGTGCAGTGGTGTAATCTTGACTTACTACAATCTTTGCCTTCCAAGTTCAAGTGATCCTTGTGCCTCAGCCTCCAGAGTAGCTGGGACAACAGGCATCCGCCACCATGCCCGGGTAATTTTTGTATTTTAAGTAGAGATGGGGTTTCACCATGTTGACCAGGCTGGTCTCAAACTCCTGACCTCAAGTGATCCATCCGCCTTGGCCTCCCAAAGTGCTGGGATTACGGGTGTGAGCCACCGTGCCTGGCCCCCAAAGATACTTTTCTAAAGATTGATCTTGTTCTCCATTAGCTTCAAAGTTACCTTTGTCCTATTCAACCCCCCAAATGCATAGCCTTTTGCCTCTCCCATGTCATTATTTTCTGCTAATTAAATAATGTGGTCTAAGATCACAGCTAATCCATATAGGAGCCACAGCTCAAATCCAGGTCTGTCTGCATGCAACATCCACACTTTTCCTACTGTAAGACCCTCTTCCTTATAAACCCTAGCCCTTAGGTCTAGCTTTTGTTAGTGGCCATGTCTCAAAGAGGAGGGACCATTTTTAAGCTCTGTGGCTGCTTCTTTTAATATTTCCCAACAGCCTTTTCTTTCTTCCCATTTCAAAAATACTGGCTCTCCTCTTGGTTTCGGGTGGACGAGCTCTTTCAGTTCTTGGCTGATTTGCACAACAGGAGTGACTGGGGTCTGCACTCAGTGACCCGGCTCAAGCTATCTCATCTTACCTCCCTAATTGGCCCATATTCACATGGGACTCAGTAATTCCCACGGAAGTGCTGCAATTATTTCCATAATTCTTACATTCCTGTATTTTTCAAACACAAAGTAAAACGACACATATGTACATCTCTTTGAGAGAAACTAAGGGAATGTTGACCTTCGGCAAGGTTTGTTAAATGGGTGCAACTTCCCAGGAGAAGAGATGCGAGTGTTGTTATGATTGCAGTGGTTTGTTGGAATGAGTGTTTATTTAATCTTCTCTGGGCTAGGAACCAGGTGATCTGAGAAGGCCCAGAGTTTGTGCTCTCTGGCATTCATGTCCGCCTGAACGTCACGGAGTGAAATCTCGAGGTAGTGCTCTATTAGGGCTGGGTTGGGGTGGAGTCCTGCTCCAGGGTTTCTAGAAGATGGGGAGTAGAAGATGCATTTCTGGCTCACTAAGAACCTTTATTGCCCCCATGATAGTCTATCAGCAGGGACATGACTGCAGAATGTTGTCCCGATTCAACAACCATTTATCCAGCATCCTCTATATGCCCAGCACCTTGCCAGGTATATGAGGGTCAGACAGTGCTTCCTCGTCTCCAGAAATGATACCTCCCAAGACAAGACAGAGCCGGGTGAAATAATTAGAGGATGAGACAAGACAAGGTGTGACAAAACCCGTTGAGGGAATGTGTTGCTGTGTGAGGGGCTGGGGGTAAACGGGAAAGGAGGTGGGTGCAGGAAACACCTTCTCTGAGTTCTCCTCCAGCCCCACGCCTGTGTCAGTCCTCCCAGACCTAGCCCTTGGGAGGGAAGCCCCATCTCCGCCAGCCTTCTTTATCCTTTTGGCCAGTGTCCCCTCAGGATGGCAACACAATGTCCCCATGGGCTGAACCAGAGTCTGGGGCAGTGGGAGCCACTCCTGCCTCTGCATTGGTACCCTCAATCCCCGCCAAATAAGCAGCAAGGCCTCACCCGGAACTGTCCCCCGGCACCGTCGTCCAGCTCCAGGATGTAGCCGTCCACGGGGCTGTGGGTGAAGGGTGGCATCCTCCAGGCCAGCGTGACGCTGTTGTTACGGGTGCAGCATTTCTCCAGCTGCAGTAGGGGGACGGGTGGCACTGCGAGGGGGACACACATGAGTTAGCGCAGGAAGCCCTCCGAGGGCCCCAGCCCGGTCCCCCACCCCACCCCATCCCAGGGGTCCTGGCCTCCAGAGGACAGCCAGGCTAAATTCCCTCCCTGGCCACCCTGTAGTCACTCCCAGACGCCCAGGAGTCAGTCTCCAGGTGGGCTGGGGATGAAGCCAAGCACAGGTGACCTGCACTTCTCAAACCTAGGGGTTGTCCTTCCTGGAATCTCAGGGGGCCGTGGCAGATGGCCCCACCCCTCTGAGCCTATGGCCCTAAGGAAGGATGTCCTCTTTCCCATCTGCCCACTGAGAACCACTGGTTTTGACTCAGACTCATGAGGAACGCATCAACAGTTCCAACAGAGTCCAGGCTCCCTGTGCGTGGCACAAGTCCCTAGGGATCCTCTCCGCAGGGCCCACAGCTAAGTGGCAGCCAGCCTGCAGCTCATGCCTGGAACTGGGAAGGTGAGGGGAGATGCCTTTAAACCTTTGGCTGGAAGCATTTACAAGGTCAGTGAACAAGATCCAGGCAACAGAAGAAAGTCTCGAGTATTGGACAGTCAACCTAAAGAACTAAGGATTTGAATCAGTTGTATCAGAAGTCCTATTAAGGTGAGAGTGGGAGAAGTTTACAAATTTTCTAGCTCTATTCAGGCTCAAGAGATTTTAGAAATCGATAGAGTCCACTTTGACCTTTTTTTTTATTTTTAAGGGAAAATTGAAACACTGGTTTTGTTAAAAGTACATATTTCAATTTGGTTCCAAGAATTTGGGCACGGGACTGGCTGAGCACAGACTGACTCCCAGCCTCAGTTAACGAGCTGGTAGGAGTCCTCGCTCCATCCCCTGGGCCCTGCTGCTCTGCTCTCCCGCTTCCTCTCTGAACGCTGACCAGCCAGTGACCCCATCCAGTCCAGTTACCCCTGACCAGTCCAGTGACCACATCCAGCTAGGAGCAGCATCTGGAGTGGCCCTAAGCCCTCCCTCCACACCCCCACTTTCCAAGGGGACCTCTCTCTTCCACTGCAGCTCATCCACTCTGCCAGGCTCCTCCTGCTTCTCAGCACTGCGTGTCATTTACACCTGGGGCAAATGGCCTTTCCAGACCTTCCTGGAGGTGCAAGCTGTGTGGGAGTGAGCATGGCAATGTGAGAGAGACTTCCTTCTTTAGTTTAAAATGGCCACAAATTATGCAGGTAAGGACTTCCTGAGTTCACAGATTCTGCAAGTGTGGCCCTCAGTCCACAAAAACCAAAGAGCTTTACCTCCCCTCCCTTGACATCTGTGGAGGGGCAGCATGCAGAGTAGGACTCCGGTTCTGGCCAGCATTTGCTGATTTCATAATGGGGCAAGTTATGCAAACTTTACTTAACCCTCTAGGGTCTCTGAACCCACCTTGCTCATTCTGCTCTCACCTCTGACCTTCTTGCTCTTGGGACAGAGAAAACTGATTCTTGCCTCAGGGACTTTGGACTTGCTATCCCTCTGCTGCCTGCAAAACTCTTCGCCTAGATTCTTCTCCCTCCTTCTCTTCCTCCTCCTCCTGCACCACCACCACCACTACTGCCTCCACCTCCTCCTCCTCCGCCACCACCTCCTCCTTCTCCACTACCCCCCCTCCTCTCCTACTACCTCCTCCTCCTCCACTATCTCAGCCACCACCTCCTCCTCTTCCACCTCCTCCTCCACTACCTCCTCCTCCGCTACCTCTTCCTCCTCCTCCATCTCCTCCTCCACCATTACCTCCTCCTCCTCCTCCATTATCTTAGCCACCACCTCCTCCTCCTCCATCTCCTCCTCCATGACTACCTCCTCCACCTCCTCCTCCTCTGCCACCACTTCCTCCTCCTCACCTCAAATCTCACCGCATGGCATCTACTGCTGGCCCTTCCTCTGATTCCTCTTCATAGCACCTGCCACCATCCAACATTCTATTATACATTTGTTTAGTGTCTATTTCCTTCTCGAGAGCGTAAGCCCAATCTTGTGAGTTGGTAGACTTGTTCAACCGCATCTTGAGCATGTGGAATAGTGCCTGGCACATGGTAGACACTTTCCAAGCACTTCTGAATGAACAAATAATTGTTGTTGAACAAATGATTGTCTTTTTCACAAATGGGAAGCCTCAGATTCTGACTGGTGCTTCTCACCCCAGCTCACATGGCTGTCAGGGGCTGAGCTGGGACTTGAACCTAGGTCCGTGACTCTGGCGCTCCTGCTCTCCCACCCTGCCACACTCCGTGCATCACAGGTCTCCCTATGGCACCGAGCTGGCCCCTCAGACTGCATGCCTCTTTTGAAAGAAGCACTGACTGAACTGGGGCCAACCGCGGCTCACCCCTACATTTCATCTGAATGAAGTCCAGCTGGTGGATGGCCTGCAGCAGCGGCTCGCTGTCCAAAGTCAGATCAAACTCCGCAGACACTTTCGGCTCCAGGGCGCCTTTGACCCACTGCTCCTGAGACACCTGGACGCGCTTGATCAGAGCATCTGAGATCTTAAAGGGGAGCAAAGAGTTTAAGGTTTTGCTTTGCAAAGGAAAAATTGTGCAGCCAGGGGTGAGGAAGAGGTAGGGACTTTGTCTCTATGGGACTCAGAGACAGAAAAGGGTTGTGCTCTAGAGCCATGGCAGAGATTAAATGACTCCTGTCCACCCAGCACAGGCTGTCTAAAAATGCATTGAAATATTGTTTCAATCGTATTTCATAATCACATGAAATGAAAAGAAGCACTTGATGCTTAAAGAGATTGCCGCAAACACTACTGAGAAATGCAAGATGCTTTTTAAATACACAAATGCATCCTTCATTAGATCTGTCTTCCTAGATCTAGTACTTTGCAAAGTGAAGCATACTAGCAGTTTGCCCCAGTGTCTAAAGAAAGCATATTCCACACCCCTAAAGTTTTGAAGCCCACATCTGCCCCCTGCCCGTGTGTTTCTTCTGAGTTGTTCTGCAACTTCTGCTCCAAACTTGACTGCATCACACCCGTGGTTCTGCTCCCTTTTGCTGGAAAGTCCTGCTTATCAGACATTTGCACGTGTCCCTGTCGAGCCAGGGTCTCGTGTGTCTTTCTTGGGAAATAATCAAAGGGATTCATCATTTTCCCCACCGACAAAGGCTGAATCACTGCCATGTTCCTGAGAGATACTCATGACCCTGAGTCAGCCTGAATGCAGGAGAGATGGCCCCGAGAAAATTGCACTGTGTCTGTAGGCAGCTGGTCACCAGCCAGGCCTGCAGGACTCTGCACATTGAGATAATGGGCCATGTGGATTCTGCTAACTTGCTTCTTCTGGTGCAATCTGTCCAGCTTGTTTGGCAAGACTGTCCTTTTGGGGAAAATGTTGCAGTGAGGCATTTCAGGCCTAGAGATGATGTCATTTCACCTCCTCGTTTCATGCATGCTGCAAAATTAGGTCACATCTAGTGAGAGTCAGAGCCAAGGTGAGAGCCTAGGTCTTCTGGAATCATTGAACAAAGGAGAATCTACTCAATCCAAGCCGTGAAAGGATCTTGCCTAGAACTTGGGCTGATTTGGGGAACAGTGGGACAGTTGGAGGAAGCCCACTTTGTGTCTTCCAGGGACAGGCTCACCTGTAAGAACCCGGAGGGGTCGTTCTCCTTGATCACCTCCAGGCAGTACTCCATCAGTCCGGTGGACTGACGCAGCTTCAATGTGCAGTGATTGATCTGGTCCCAAACCATCTGCAATGGAAAGACTCCTCTAAGTAACTGTCTCATGAGAGGAAGAACAGGCAGGCCACCGCAAGAGTCAGAGAACTAGTGCCAATACAGCCTGGAAGAGGCGGCGCTGGCCTGGACCACCTTGCACCAGCTCCTCTCTCAGCTCTGCTGCTAAGCTCCATGTGTCCTCTTTGCTGGGAAATAAGTGGACTCACTTCCTAACAAGCAGGGCTACAACACCCAACACAGAAACCTTTCTAAACTCATGATAGTCATGCAGAGAAAGAGCATAATCTGGAACTCTCCATACAATCAGCCACCAGCTTCTTGGCTGGCTTCCGACCGCTCAGTGGCCCTGGATAATGCAATGGTCCTAGCCCCCTCACTTATGAACCATGGGATCAACTCCAGCATGCATTCCTCCTTTTCTTGACAGTAATATTTTCTGGTCCAGTTATGAAATGTCTCTAGCATAGATGGAGCTCCTCAGACAGTGACAGCCCGTCATCAACTCAGAGAGTTCATGGGTGCCTGGCTGAGTTAGGGACTCAGTGTGACGTGAGGGGAGAGTCTCGTCTTCCCTTGGTGGGAACTGGCTGTGTATGTTATTGCTGACTGTTGAGTACATGAAATATCAGAGAGAACCTGAAGAAGGGGACAGAGCTGGAGACCTGAACAGGGTCAGGGCTAGTCACTGTCATTGGTCACTTCTGCTCTGCAAAATGAGAACAAGAATAGTCCCTTAGACAGAAACAGGGAGGGAGAGGGTGGACTTCTGACTTGAAACCCTCAGGACACAGGGCATATTGATTGGTCTCTGTCAGGTCACATGAATGTAACCGAACCAGCTGGTGCATCCCTTCCTTGCCTCATTCATTCATTAGCTCATTCATTCACTCACTTAGCTGTTATTTCCCCAGTGCCTACTCTGTGCTCCACCCCACGCTGGGTGCAGAGGATGTGGCAGGGATTCAATGTGTCAGTCCCCCAGGTACCTACCTTCAACTTGTGTTCCCTCTCTTTAGTCACCTTGGTGAGCAGCTTGGCTTTCTGACGAGTTAAAGCATCCACAAGGGCATCACACTGAGCAACGAGGCAGGCTTCGTAGTCCAGTCCGTTTTCCTGGCAGAGGTTGGGGGTTGGTTGGGAAGAAGCAAAGAGTTTTAGGGGGAAGATGCTAAAATCTGGTGAGTGCTATAGACAAAGATATATTTCAGAGAAGTTCATCCTAGATTTCTCTATAATGTTGTTAAATTAGAGACAATATTTATATGAATTAAGGCAGGTACTATGAATCTCATCACAGCCATATGGCAGAATATTCTGTAGTCATTCAAATCTTGTTCATAGGGCACTTTTAATGCCATGAGAAAATGCTCATGAGAGACTGTTAAGAAAGAAAAAAAGTCAGGATACACGTTATTCACAGCATAATCTCATACATTGTGTGTGTGTGTGTATGTGTGTTTAAAGTAATAGAACAGGCCCGGCGCGGCAGCTCATGCCTATAATCCCAGCACTTTGGGAGGCCAAGGCGGGTGGATCACCTGAGGTTGGGAGTTGGAGACCAGCCTGACCAACATGGAGAAACCCCGTCCCCACTAAAAATACAAAATTAGCTGGGTGTAGGGGCACATGCCTGTAATCCCAGCTACTCAGGGGGCTGAGGCAGGAGAATTGCTTGAACCTGGGAGGCGGAGGTTGCGGTGAGCTGAGATCGTGCCATTGCACTATAGCCTGGGCGACAGAGTGAGACTCTGTCTCAAAAAAAAAAGAATTCAGTCCCTCTTATTCCTCCAGATATGTTAATGCTTTCTCATCTTATGAGCAGTTCCTCTATGTGTGCACATTCACACAGGAGCACCTGTGTGTGCACGTTCTCCCCTATAGACAGACCCTGAGGCACACATGGTGCCTCATTGATCTTTGTATCTTGTGCTGGGCTCAGTACATGACACAGCATAAGAGTTCAGTAAACACATTTGTTTAGAAAATGATGCATTTATATTTTGATGCATTGATGACATGGGCATATTCGGCCACAAAAGCACCATATACAGATGCCACAAAGGACGACGACATGGCACGTAGAGTGCTAGATCACATCTTTCCAGCTCTCTCTAATTGGCTCCATGTAAAAGTCCTTTCCTGTATCAGGTGTCACTTGTGTGCCAATGAGTTGAATATGTGACACTTTCAGCACCCAAGGCTATAGGGTAGGACACATAAACCTTCTAATGTCCATCACTGAGAAAATGCTTGCTACAAGACTTTTCCTTTCTTCTTCTCCTTCTTCTCCTTCTCCTTCTCCTTCTCCTTCTTCTTCTTCTTCTTCTTTTCTTTGAGACAGACTTTCTCTCTTGTTGCCCAAGCCAGAGTGCAATGGCACAATCTCGGCTCACTGCAACCTCCGCCTCCCAGGTTCAAGTGATTCTCCTGCCTCAGACTCCAGAGTAGCTGGGATTACAGGCATGCGCCACCACGCCCGGCTAATTTTTGTATTTTTAGTAGAGACGGGTTTCTCCATGTTGGTAAGGCTGGTCTCAAACTCCCAATCTCAGGTGATCTGCCCGCCTCGGCCTCCCAAAGTGTTGGGATTACAGGTGTGAGCCACCGTGCCCCGCCTCTTTCTTCTTAATACGATGCACAACGTGCAAACTTTCAACACTGAGTATTTCTCCCGACGCCAGAGCTGTGCTCACCTGGATCTGCTGCAATATGTTCTTTAGCTGAACCAGAAACTCCTTTGCTTCCTTTGCCTTATCTGAAACTCCATTTAAGGCCTGAGATAGTTGTGCCTGAAAAAGATATCACATGTTGAAAAGAAAAATTAGTTGTGAAAGGCACAGAAAATTTGCACTTCATCATAAAAGCTTATGTTTATAAGAGGGGATAGGACTGATCCCACGCATCTGCTGTTCTCATTGATGAAGGGACCACCACTGACCCATGATCTCTACAACATTTGTTTATTTTTCCAACAGTGGTAGATTGGCCTGCACTCTCCTTTCTCATCCCCAAAGCTGGATAGAGGTAAGGAGCACTCAGCTAACGGGTTGAAGCAAACAGGTCTGCCCCTGATGTTTGTAGAGCCCAAGACAAGAAGATAAATAGAGTCCTTGGCTTGGCCTGGCCCCCTCTATCCATAATCAGTACATGCCTGTATGGACATTCCAGACCCCAGGTCAGGTTCCGTCCACCCCATCCCTACACAGTCATCTCCTGGCCTGGGGTGCAAACCCTGGGGCCTGGTATGCCCTGAGGGATGGACAGGAAGGGGGCTGTGGGTCCTGGAACTGGACTAGGTGTATGGACTGGTAATCCTAGGGCATCCTCTAAAGGGGCATACAGGCTCCTAGCCTGGTACCCTTAGCCCTGGGGACTCCTCACCCTGCAGAGAGGGGTGTGACCAGCAGAAGCTTCTGAAGCATGAGGATCAGTTGCTGTGGCCCAAGGGTGAAATTGCAAGCTGAGCTCAAATCTATGGCTTTTGGCACCAGGCTTTTTTGTAACGAACCACATACACACACAATTGAATTTGTCTTTAAAACCTAGCTATTGAGTAGACTGTGACCTTGATTTTTTTTTTTTTTGAGACAGGGTCTCACTGTGTTGCCCAGGCTAGAGTGCAGTGGCTCAATCATGACTCACTGCAGCCTCAACCTCTCAGGCTCAAGTGATCCTCCCAAATCAGCCTCCAGCTAATTTTTGCATTTTTTAGTAGAGATGGTGTCTCGGAGGCTGTGTTGCTCAGGCTGATCTCAAACTCCTGGTCTCAAGTGATCCTTCCACCTTGGCCTCCCAAATTGCTGGGATTACAGGTGTGAGCCATCACGCCCATCCAGACTGTGACCCTGATTTTTACATGACTCTCATTTTCCACATTAAAAAGCTGAGGATAGAACAAAGCAGAGTCAGAAGGGCCAGGGTCTCCTTCTCCCCCAAGTCCCCTCCCAGGTCTCTGCTCAGACGTCACTGTGTCAGTGAGGACTTTCCTCACGACCTTGTGCAATATCCCCCTCGCCTTCCCCTGGCTTATTCTTCCTCCTAACAGTCGTCACCACCCAACCTAGAAAACTTGTTTGCTGTCCATCTCCATGTCCTAGAATGAAGGACAAGGGCTTTGCTGGGTGGCTCACAGCTTATCCCGGCACTGGAAGAGTACCCGGCACATGGTGGCATTCAATAAATATTTGTTGAATGCATGAATCAGTGAATGGGATTCTTTAGACCACACCAACGGTTGTCAAAGTGTGGTTCTAGACCAGCAACATCAGCATCACTGGGCGATTTGTTGAAGTGCACCGTCTCTGGCTGCACCCCAGATCTGCTGATCAGAGGTCGTGGGTGAAGCCCTGGAGTCTGCGGTTTACCAAGCCCTCCAGGGGGTTCTGATGCAGTTTGAGATCCCCTGGACTGTGCAAGTGCAGCCTCCACTGAAAACCTATGGAGAAGATGGCAAAGGAAGCCCACAAAAAGACACAGGGAGTAGGTGGAAATACAAGGAAGGGGGCCCGGTCCCCAGGAGCACCAGCACGCAAGGAGAGGTCAAGGTCTAGGCTGTCTGCTCAGAGAGAGCAGGAGCCTTAGGCTAAGGATCAGCGGAGGTGCAGCTCCTTGGAGAAGCTTTTTCCTACACCATGAGCCTCACCACTCCCAGCCCCACCTCAGTGGGTTTAGGCTCTCCACTCCATAGCTGGCCCACAGTGTACCACCATCTGTTGCCAGCACCTAGGCAGTGAAACATCCCATAGAATATACAGTGATGGCAGAAGCGTCTCAGGTCTGCTCTGTCCCTGACGGTAGCCGCTAGCTGCCTGTGGGTACTGAGCACTTGAAGTAGCTAATGTGACTGAGGAGCTGGACTTTTCATATTATTTAGGGTAAGTTGCAACTGCCATGTGTGATTAGCCAGTGGCTAGTCCTGGAGAGCACAGGTTTGACACCCATCTGATAACCTACAGGTCACATTTGGCAGGCTTCTGGATTAACCTCCTGGGAAAGGCCTCGTGATTCATGGCTTACATCCTGTCTCTGAGAAAAGGCTCTTATCCCGAGGCCCTCAAATCTTACTGTGAGTTCCTCAAACTGTTGACATACTGATTAATACATAACCTACTGACATCAAAAAGGACAGTGAAGCCAGGTGGGGTAGCTCATTCCTGTAATTCCAGCTACTCAGAGGCAGAGGCAGGAGAATTGCTTGAGGCCAAGAGTTCAAGACCAGCCTGGGCAACATAGAGAGACCTCCCTGCCGCACTCCCCGGCCCCGCTTTCCTCCCTCATCCTCACCCTCTCTCTATAAAAAAATTTTAAAAATTAGCTGGGCATGGTGGTGTGTGCTTGTAGTCCCAGCTACTCGGGAGGCTGGGGCAGGAGGATGGCTTGAGTCCAGGAGGTTGAGGTTACAGTGAGTTATGATTATGACACTGTGCTCCAGCCTAGGTGACAGAGTGAGACTGTGTCTCAAAATAAAAATGACACATTTGTTTCTGAATCACAAAGTTTTACTGATCGCCTTGCACATGGAATGTTAGCCTGTATGTTGTCATCTGTAGCCAATGAATGTAACCTCTGTGCTGTAGCCATCAATGGAAAAGGACAACTCTGATAGGAGGAGCTCTCCCTTCTCCTTCACTTTCTAGATAAGCCTTCCAACCTGTGACAGGCTCTGGAACATGCCCAGCTTTGTTGGTGTGTCTTCCCCAGTCGAGCCTCACACTTGGCTTCCAATGAACCTTTATCAAATTATTTCTGCCCTGACAGCCTTAATTTTGCCACATCCTTAGTGGGGTGCAGAGCCCAGGACAACTCCACCCATCCCAGGATACTCACCCTCAAAAGGAGGCTGAGGGGTCAGCATCATTCACAGGCCCTGGAAGATATCTTTAATGACAGGAGTTTTCAAGTTGAAGTTTATCAGGGACAGGGAAAGAATAGCAACCCCTTTCCAAGACTCCCACCCAAAGCATGGGCCCCCTGGGGCTGTGGCTGGCCCCTCCTCTCTTGGTCAGCTCGGGCTGCAGCAACAGAACACACAGACCTGGGGCTTCAGCCACAAACACGGATTTCTCAGAGTTCTGGAGGCTAGAAGTGTGAGATCCGCGTGCCAGTGCGGTTGGTTCAGGGTGAGGGCCCTCTTCTGGGTTAGGTCCTCACGTGGTGTCATGGTTTGGATATAGTATTTTTGGCCACATTAAATCTCATGTTGAAATTTGATCCCCAGTTTTGGAGGTGGAGCCTAGTGGGAGGTATTTGGTCACAGGGGTGGATCCGCATGAGTGTCTTGGTACCGTCCTCCCCTCCTGCTTAGCGGGTTCTCACTGTATTAGTCCCCACGAGAACTGGTTGTTAAACAGAGCCTGGCAGCTCCCTCCTCTCTCTCTCAATTCCTCTCTTGCCATGTGATGCCTGCTCCCTTTTGCCTTCCACCATGAGTGGAAACTTCCTGAGGCCCTCACCAGAAGCAGATGCTGGGGCCATGCTTCTTGTACAGCCTGCAGAATCATGAGCCCCATAAACCACCTTTCTTTATAAATGACCCAGACTCAGATATTCCTTTATAGCAATGCAAATGGACTAAGATGCATGGATTTTCCTTGGTGTGTGCACCAAGAGGAGAGAGAGAGAGAGAGAGAGAGAGAGAGAGAGAGAGAGAGAGAGAGCTTGAGAGAGAGTTCAGGTGTCTCTTTCTTTTTTTTTAAGGGAATTAATTCTATCAGAGGGGGCTGTGAGCACATCTAAACCTAATTACCTCCCAAAGGCTCCACCACCTAATATCAGCACATTGAAGATTTAGGCGTCAACGTATGAATTTGGAAGGGACACAAACATTCAGTTCATAGCACCTCCCACTCATCATACAGTCCTCAGTGGAGAGACTTTGTCTTTTGTCTCTACATTTCTATCCCACTGTGCTGCACAAAGTAGGAGCTCAAAGAATGCTCCCCGGCTGAATAAAAAGCAAAATAATTGCTTGAGGTGCATGCAAAGAGTGGGATAGATCCCTGCAGATTCATCACTGCGGCTAGCACCTTCCTGGAGGAACTCAGCAAGCTTGCTTCTGCCTGAGAGGCAGGGTAGTTAGGGTCACGCACCATCTGCCCAGTACCAGGGGCCAGGACGGCTCTGTCCCAGCCAGCGCCAGCCTTCCAGGAGCCCAGCCCTCCCCAGAGCCTGCTGACCTTCTTCCTGCTTGGCAAGAAGACCAAGGAGCTTGGCAAGAAGCCCAAAAACAGAGTGGTTTTGAAGGAGACCCGTGACCGCAGGCTAATGCCTGGCTGAAAGGGGGACAGTCTCACGGTTCAGCGGACACTGCTTCCAGGTCCATCAGACTTGCCATCTAATTTTTCCCTCCACTGCTTTTTGATGCCCCCTTGGTGAGGTCACCTCAATGCACGCCACATTGGGGCCTGCCATGTGCTCAGCCACGTGAGGGCCCTGTGCCCTGGTCTGCAGCCATGGAAGAGCCAAAATGGGCAGTGTGAGGGCTAGCCGCTGTCGAGGGATGTCCTCATAAGCACACACTGGTCCTTTTCTTCAACCCAGTCCTTTGTGTGTGAATGACCACAAGTCAGTTCTCCTCACTCAGGGAATAGCATTGTGGAAATCAGACCTGATAATTCTAGTGGAAAAAGAGCAAAGGTTTTTGGAGTGAAAGAACAAACGATTTTTTTTTTAAGAGATGGAGTTCTGGAGCAGTGGCTCATACCTGTAATCCCAGGACTTTGGGAGGCCGGGGTGGGAGGATTGCTTGAACCCAGGAGTTTGAGACCAGCCTGGGCAACATAATGAGTACGACCAGACTGGGTAATATAGTGAGCTGTTGTCTCTACAAAACATTTAAAAATAAGCCAGGTGTGGTGGCATGTGCCTCTAGTCTCAGCTACTTGGGAGGCTGAGGCAGGAAGATCACTGGAGCCCAGGGCGAGACCCTGTATCAAAGACAGAGAGAGAGAGAGAGAGACAGGGAGAGTGAGAGAGAGACAGATGGAGATCTGGAGAGCTTTCTCTGCCACTCAGGCTGGAGTGCAGTGGTGTAATCATAGCTCACTGTAGCCTCAAAAACCTGGCCTCAAGCGATCCTCCTGCCTCAGCCTCCCGAAGCACTGGGATTACAGGCCTGAGCCACCTTGCCTGGCTCTCACTCTCTAAAGATGGGTGGCCCAGGAAAGCTGCATCAGCTCCCTGCCCTGCTGCCCCACTGCACGCTGGAGATCTCTGCCTTGAGCAGAGTTGGAGTGCCACAAGGTAGGCAGCATAGTACCTGACATGTAGAATGTGCTCCATAAATATTTGTGTCAGTGAATTGATTTTGCTCTAGATTTTTGTCTGACTAGCTCCCTGAGATATTCAAGTCTCAATCCTCTCCCACACTGGGCATAATTAAAATGGCCTTGTGGTCATTCCAAACCTACTGTTTCTAGGGCATGGAGCCCCATATGGTCCCGGGCACCAGCAGTCTGACCCTACTCTGAGGACTGACCCGCTTTTTATGACTTCTGGGTGTTAACTATTTCTAGGTTAACTGCCGCCACTGACCTGGTTCACATTTAGTCACACTGGATGAGGCTTCTGATGCCCCACGCTCCTGATGCCCTGTCTCTATTGCACACCAGAGGGTTCCTCTGCCCTGCCCTGCTCTCCCCCTTTACTGAGCAACCTGCCAACAGCTGGGGAAGCCCCCCACCCACCATCTCAACACCCCTTGCCAGTCCGCGGAGAGCGGCTTTGTTTTCTAGTCTTCTCTCAATGGCCAGGCCTAGGTTCCAAGAGCCCAGTAACCAGAATAAAGATAACTTCCAGGCTTGGCACGGTGGCTCACGCCTGTAAACCCAACACTCTGGGAGGCCAAGGCGGGAGGATCACTTGAGCCCAGGAGTTCTAGACTAGCCTAAGCAACACAGCAAGACCCCTGTCACTACAAAAAATACAAAAATTAGCTGAGTGTGGTGGTATACACCTGTAGTCCCAGCTACTCAGGAGGCTGAGGTGGAAGGATTGCTTGAGCTCAGAAGTTTGAGGCTGCACTGAGCTTTGATTGTACCACTGCACTCCAGCCTGGGTGACAGAGTGAAAACTTGTCTCTTAAAAAAATGATGATGAATAAATATAACTTCCCTAGCGTCCAGCCTAAACTGAGGCTCAGAAATATGGTGGGGAGCCTTGATCACCCTGTGATTGAGGCAGATGCAGCAACAGGCCTGGAGACTGGAAACAAGGTGTGACCCATGGAGTCACTGGAGGTGACTCACAGGGATGAGAGAGGGAGGAGGTGAGCACGTGGAGACCCTGGAAGTGGGGAAAGAATAGGACAAAGGAGGGTCCTGAGAGGGAGACTTGGGCAGACCCTTCTCCCATGAAATAGTGGCAGCCAGACCTCCCGGATTCCCCAACCCCACCGGCTTCCCCGCTCCCAGTCCGCTCCCAGGATCCAGTCCCCCGCCCTGAGGATCCAGGCCACAGAGACTTTGCTCCATGCAGCATGAGGGATTGATGGTAAGGGCACAGGGGAGAGGGACGCCCCTGGGTAGATGTCCACTTAGGGAGGAGCCAGCTCAGCATTGGCTACGAAGGGAGCAATGCTGGGTGGCAGCCCCTGGTATGTTACGCCGGGGGCCGCAGGCTGAAGGTGACCCCCCAGAAACAGAAGGGGTCATTGGTAGAAGAACTAGGAGCCAGGGGTTGATCCAGGCAGCCTCTCTCTGCAGTGGCTGTGGCCCAGAGCTGGGGGGAGATCCCCTGAGGCAAAGCAGCTCAGAAGATCAGCTCCTGTCCCTGCAGCTCCCTGTGTTTGTGTCGCTAAGCCAGTAAGGAGGAGAGCTGGGACTGGAATGGGGCTCTCCAGATGCTGATCCAATGTTCTGTTCAGTGCTTCAAGCCACATCCAATTCTCAGAACCCCTACATGGAGCCTGCTGCCACGACTCTGTCAACACAGACTAGATCTCTTTGAAGGCGCCACCACTGCCTTCATCTAGGGCTGTTGCAAAAGAAGAGAACTCTCTGGGAGGATCTGCCTTTCCCTGAATCCCCAGGCTCACTCTGTCATGGGTTCCTATGGGACATTAGTTTCTTATTGCTGCTGTGACAAGTTGCCATAAGCCTCGTAGCCTAGATCAACACAAATTTATCATTTTATGGTTCTAGAGGTCAGAAGTCCAAAATGTGTCTTACAAGCCTAAAATCAAGGTATGGGCAGGGCTGGTTCCTTCTGGAGGCTCTAAGGGAGAATCCTCTTCTGTGCCTTTTCTGGCTTCTAGAGGTCACCCACATTCCTTGGCTTGCGGCCCCTTCCTGGCATCGTTCAACTTCATGTGCTATGGTCTGAATGCTTGCATCTCCCCCAGATTCATATGTTGAATCCTAACCCCAGGAGAGGTGGTATCAGCAGTGGGGACTTTGGGAGGTGGTGAGGTCATGAGGGTGGAGCCCTCATGAAGGGGATTAGAACCCTTATAAAACAGGCCCCAGAGTGAGGCCCCAGAGTGAGAAGATGCCATCTATGAATCAAGAAAACGTCCTGCCAGGCACCAAATCTGCTAGGCACTGATCTTGGACTTCCTAGCCTCCAGAACTGTGAGAAGTACATTCCTTTTGTTTATCAACCCCCCTGTCTATGGTATTTTGTTATAGCATCCTGAAGACTAAGACATCTTGCTTCCATCCTCATCTCCTATGACTAACTCTGATCCTCCTATCTCCCTCTTACAAGAACCTTTCTGGTGACATTGGACCCACAATGATTGTGAGGTTAAAGCAGGATAATCTCCCCATCTCAAGATGCTTAACTTCATCACATTTATCACATTTGCAAAGCTCTTTCGCCATGTAAGGTAACATTCACCTTACATGGGTTCCAGGAATAAAGATATGGATGTCGTCCTTGGAGGCCATCATTGAGCCTGCTATGACTGGCAATTAAATTTATCATTTTTAAAAACCTCATTTCACATGTGGCCACAGAACTGTTCAATGTCTGCTGCTCAGAGGACTGTGCACTCAATGAAGTCACGTTGGATTTATCCAGTGTCGCATCCCCAGCTCAGAGCCCGGAGGCTAGTACACAGGACCCACTATAAATGGTGCCTGATTGAGGGTCTGTTTCTACCTGGATCGTCAGCTTTGTACTGGGCCCATGAGGCAGTTCTCAGGACAAGATCCATCACAGAACCAACATCCACCAGACACAGATCCACCCGCTGAGGCCAGAAAAGTGGATCTTGTGGAGAACAATGTCATTTTTGTGCCACAGGACAAAGGTCTGACTGCCCGAACCCAGTCACAACCTGGACTTGATGGCCTCTCCTCTCCTGAGGTGGGACAGGATCAGTAGCAACTGGTGACTTCCCATTAATAGCAATAAGAATAACAACCGACAGCTTGCTAAGTGCTGAGCTCTTTACATGCCGAATTTATCTGATTCCTCATAACCTAGCAAGGAGGTGCCATATTAACACCATTTTACAGAAGGGAGCATGGGCTCGAGAGGGGAAGTAATTTGCTCAAAGTCACACAGCTAGTAAGTAGTGTGGCCAGGACTCAAACCCAGATTTTTCTGAATCCAAAGTCGATGCTCTTTGCACTCCATTGCACTGCACTTTGGATGTTCAACCAACGTGGAAGGAGGACAAAACCTAATTTCCCATTAAAATCCCTCGGAGGCAGGGCTGCTGGGCTGAGACCACCCACCATCTTCCAGCTGCATCTTTATTCTCCAGGGGACCCTTGTCCCTGGCATTCTGTGTGCTTGGGCAGGGTTGCCTGTCTGCCAATGATGGTTTCATCAGACCCAAGCTCCACTCTCCAGCTCATTAGGATTTCAAATGTGCAGCTGTGTAGGAAGCCTCCACAGCCACTTTGCGAATGTTGATAAAGCAACGTTGCCATCAGTCTGGGCTTTGTCCCTGCACTGCAGGGGACACATGTGGGAGGATGACACTGACCACCACCTCCTCCTGCTCCTGTCCCACACAGAGCAAGGTGTCTGGGGGAGGCAGAAGCAACCAAGACTGCCTTGAATAGCAATATGGTGCCATGTAACACGGGTCCCAGTGTGATGGAGGGGTGGAAGGGATTATGTGGACACAGTCATAGATCACGCTCTCACAAAGATGTCTCTGTGAGAGTGGGAGAGCATGGGAAGCAAAAATGGATTGGCAGGGCAGGGAAGTGCAGGCAGCTCTCCTCTGGGAGAGAACACGAAAGAACAGGACTTGCTTTTCTCTAGGAAGGGAGATCCCATAGATTCACTCCTGTCACTTCCCATCAGCCAAGCTTTCATCTTAGGCGTCTGGAGTGCTGAGCTACTTTCTTGTTCCCACAGCCTAACCAAGCATCTGCCTGCCTGGGTCTCTCTCCAGAAGCACTACAGCAGCTCCTTTGTGCCTGGCGTGGATCAGAGAGAGCTTGCCCGCTGTCCCTCTGGCTACCCAGCCACGTGGCTTCCTTCTGCCCGCCTTTCCCACCCCGCCTCTCCCACTCCGCCTCCTGCAGTTTGATGCCCCACTTGGGAGACAGTAGAGATGGGGCGTGTATTAAAACAGGAATCGAAGCTTCACTGAGAGTTTCACACCATCATTGGGCACAAAGGAGGTTGTGAAATGGACCACAGGGGATTTCTCTCACCTTTTTATCTGCCCCTCAGTGCTAAGGTATTGTTTTTTTTTTTTAACCTGTGGCTGATAATAATGCCTAATAAGTTAAAAATGCCCTCATCTGTTGGCAGAACAGTAGAAATAAATGAGAAATGTAAATGACTCATTTTTTAAAAAAATTAAAAGGTAGAGGCTCCTGGGTAAGCAGAGAAATTGACTTCTAAGCACCACCTGAGGGAGGCACGGATACCACTGAGGCACACTCCTCCGCCAGGCAGATGATCTCCTTCTCCTTTTATCCCGAAATCCTACTCCCCACTTGGGGAGCCTGGGGCCAACAGAGGCAGGTCTTTTCCCTGCATCTTCTTTCTTGCCCCTTGTTGCTTAAATGTGGCTATTTTCCTTCATCTTCTTAAACGCTGTCTTCCCAGGTGAAATATAAAGAGGGATCCAACAACACAGCTACGACTTCCTGGTCACACCATTGCCTGGGAAGCTTTCAGCTTTCTGTTTTTAGACTTAGATTGATCTCCTGGTCGAGATCCATATGCTTGTGAGATGGGCATCCTCATTAGCCTTGCTGATGAGGCAGCCGTGGATGTCGTGGGATGTGCGGGTAAAGCAGTCCCCTTCCTCTAGCAGGAAGATGAAAGCTGCCCAGACAGCCTGAGAAGCACCTTCCCATCATCCAAGCTTTCATTTTAGGCCTCTGGGGTGCTGGGCTGGGGAAGGCTGCCTGGCATTTTCAAATGGTTGGAGATACTGCTCAATGCAAGCCTGTATCCTGGACCAGCCTCAGGGGAAGGGCGACGGACTGAATTGTGTCCCCCAAAATTTAGACATTGAAGTCCTAACCCCCAGCACCTCAGAATGTGACTGTACTTGAAGAGATGATTCAGTTAGAATGAGGTCATTAGGGTGGGCCCTAATCCAGCAGGACTGGTGTCCTTATGAAGAGGGGAGATTTGGACATAGAGACAGACAGGTGCTAGGGAAAGCACCACGTGAAGATTGGAGTTATGCTGCCAAGGATCTACAAGGAGCTGGGAGAGAGGCCGGAGCAGGTCCTTCCCAGAGCCCTCAGGGGCAGCATAGCCCTGCCGACACCCTGATTTCAGTCTTCTGGCTTCCAGAACAGTGAGACGATATATTTCTGTGGTTCTAAGCCACCCAGTTTGTGGTACTTTGCTCTGGCAACCCTAGCAAAGAATACAGAGGGACTAAAAGGAGGTCCACGGATGCGCTGCTGAAACCAGGAATCCAGGTCAGGCCCGATTTGTCCTGTTCCAACTAGAGATGTGCTCCTCCTTCAGGAAGAAATCCTGCTTTTGCCAGAATGTACTCTTGTCTCTCCTTCTGGCCCTTTGGGCTCAAGAGTTCCACTGCTGTGATTCATGCAGAACAAAGAGGGAGCGCCTCAGCCTGGCTGTCAAGCCCTTCATCCATTCACCGATGTATTCATTCAGCAAGCGACTGCCAGCCGCCTATCAGGAGAGAGGTGAGTTCTGCTCACGGGGAACATCCCCTTCTTTTTCCCTGGGAAAATCTGCAACCCAAGCACCTATCTTCCAGAAGACCCACCTCCTTCTCGTCTCCTCTAGTTATGAGCCCTTGTCCCGGCTGTCACGGCCGTTTATCACACTCATCTCCAGTCCTAGCTCAGCTTGCCCACGTCCAACTCAAATCCTCCTTTTCCACGAAGTCTTCCCCCCAGACTCCATGAACTTTGTGGTTCATCTCTGTTCTGCCATCACCTCTCGCTTACCTCCGACTGTGGCCCTCGCCATCATCTGTCTGAGGTCTTAGTTACTTATCTACTTGACCGTGTCCCTCACTAGATCAGGACTTCCAGAGTGAGCCGTTCAATCATCTTTGTGTCCCTAGTACAGAGCCTGTGCAGAACGGGCACTCAACAGTGTCTTCTGAATTCACTGATTTCGTGCTGTGTGCTCTGGGGAGCTGCAAAAGGGCAGGACGCGTCTGGGCTCCCCTAGGCAAAGGTCCCAGTGCTGCAGCCCAAGGCATCCTCTGTGTCTCCTACTAGGGATCCCACTTCTCACTCTCGATGTGGCCTCCCCTCGCTGCCTGTTCATCCCGGCTCACTCCCTGGTCCTGCACTGGGGGCTGGAACACAGACTTCCTGGGGGTCCCGCCGTGGTGGGAGCTCCTGGGTTCCACTTGTTTGGGTTGTTTTAGATTCTTCCCCACTTCAGATGAGGAAAACAAGAGCCATTCTCCCTTCTGACTTTCCTTCCTTTTCTTTTCTCAGATCCCTCCAGTGTAGGAGGGTGGGAGGGAGAGCTGGTCCAGGGGTGAGGGGAGACTCCTTTCTCACAGGGAGTTTTCAGATAAAGGCTCTGGGAATCCTGAGAAGGGTGGAAGGTGCAGGAATGGACGCCGTGGAGTACAGGCTGGCTGGCTGGACAACACACACTTCCCATTGAGCCAGCAACTCGGATTTAGGAGCCAGCAGATGGTGACCGAAGTGCCCTGCTCTCTGGAAGTCCAGGCACCAGCTCAGCTCCACACTAGCCTAGGCCCTGCAAGCAGAATAAGCTGACCCTCCCCAACCTGCCGGCCACCCATTCAGGAGCACTGCTGGGTGTTTATCCAGCAACCCTTAGAGCTGGGCTTCAGGGTTGGGCCCTGAATTCAAACCCTAATTTTACGTGACCTAGTTTCTTGCCCTCTGTGAGACTTCGTGTCCTCACGTGTGAATTGGGGTGATGATACCCACCCCAAAGGCCTGCCTCAAGGTTTAATGATGGTGTGCATGGAAGGCCCTGGGTTCAGGGACTGGCACTCTACTCATGGTGGTTCTCGGTAGAATGAGAACCCCAGAGAGAGCTTCCCCGACAGCTGCAGGGACCATTGTTTTTCTGCTGTTGACCTTCCATTATCCTCTATAACAGTATCCCAATTTTGCTTTGAGAAGTTGCCTTTTCTCCACTGAGCACAGCCTGGTAGGGCTGGAATTAGGACTCCAGTACCACTGCCTTCACCCTGACAAGGGGTAGGCACATGCCTGTGTGAACCCTGAGAGAGCCAGCCCTTCGAGATGGATCCTGAGGGGCTATCCGGGTCTGAATTCTGAGTGGCGCTGAAAGCCATTTGCCTACTGCAGGTTCCCTACATGCCCTGTGCAAGCCGAACAGTAGCTCAATGTTGGGGCCTTCTTAGCTGTCTGTTCCTGCTCACACTGCCAGAATCAACTGCTGCCGACGTCCTCATTCTACCACCTGAACCTGACCAATGAAATGTGACCCGTGGTCAACTTTAACATCAGCAAATCAGAACTGAACAAGCTTGCATCCCTCAGATGCAATGGGAACTGGGATTAGAATCTAAGCAGAAACTTTTTCTATGCAGGATAGCCCTTCTCTTTGTTCTGGCAGACGTGCCTTTGTTTTATACTGAAGGCTGAGTCTCCCCAGTTGGCAAACTGCTGGTTG